>NC_000011.10:39756969-39908484 GCF_000001405.40 Homo sapiens
AATGCTGAGAGATTTTGTCACCACCAGGCCTGCCCTAAAAGAGTTCCTGAAGGAAGCACTAAACATGGAAAGGAACAACTGGTACCAGCCACTGCAAAAACAAGCCAAAATGTAAAGACCATCAAGGCTAGGAAGAAACTGCATCAACTAACGAACAAAATTACCAGCTAACATCATAATGACAGGATCAAATTCACACATAACAATATTAATTTTAAATGCAAATGGGCTAAATGCTCCAATTAAAAGACAGACTGGCAAACTGGATAAAGAGTCAAGACCCATCAGTGTGCTATATTCAGGAAACCCATCTCACATGCAGAGACACACTTAGGCTCAAAATAAAGGGATGGAGGAAGATCTACCAAGCAAATGGAAAACAAAGGCAGGGGTTGCAATCCTAGTCTCTGATAAAACAGACTTTAAACCAACTTTAAATCAAAAGAGACAAAGAAGGCCATTACATAATGGTAAAGGGATCAATTCAACAAGAAGAGCTAACTATCCTAAATATATATGCACCCAATACAGGAGCACCCAGATTCATAAAGCAAGTCCTTAGTGACCTACAAAGAGACTTAGACTCCCACACAATAATAATGGGAGACTTTTACACCCCAATGTCAAAATTAGACAGATCAATGAGACAGAAAGTCAACAAGGATACCCAGCAATTGAACTCAGCTCTGCACCAAGCAGACCTAATAGACATCTACAGAACTCTCCACGCCAAATCAACAGAATATACATTCTTTTCAGCACCACACCACACCTATTCCAAAATTGACCACATACTTGGAAGTAAAGCACTCCTCAGCAAATGTAAAAGAACAGAAATTATAACAAACTATCTCTCAGACCACAGTGCAATCAAACTAGAACTCAGGATTAAGAAACTCACTCAAAACCGCTCAAATACATGGAAACTGAACAACCTGCTCCTGAATGACTATTGGGTACGTAACAAAATGAAGGCAGAAATAAAGATGTTCTTTGAAACCAACGAGAACAAAGACACAACATACCAGAATCTCTGGGACACATTCAATGCAGTGTGTAGAGGGAAATTTATAGCACTAAATGCCCACAAGAGAAAGCAGGAAAGATCTAAAATTAACACCCTAACATCACAATTAAAAGAACTAGAGTAGCAAGAGCAAACACATTCAAAAGCTAGCAGAAGGCAAGAAATAACTAAGATCAGAGCAGAACTGAAGGAAATAGAGACACAAAAAACCCTTCAAAAAATCAATGAATCCAGGAGCTGGTTTTTTGAAAAGATCAACAAAATTGATAGACTGCTACCAAGACTACTAAAGAAGAAAAGAGAGAAGAATCAAATAGACGCAAGAAAAAATGATAAAGGGGATATCACCACTGATCCCACAGAAATACAAACTACCATCAGAGAATACTATAAACACCTCTACGCAGATAAACTAGAAAATCTGGAAGAAATGGATAAATTCCTGGACACATACACCCTCCCAAGACTAAACCAGAAAGAAGTTGAATCCCTGAATAGACCAATAACAGGCTCTGAAATTGAGGTGATAATTAATAGCTTACCAACCAAAAAAAGTCCAGGACCAGATGGATTCACAGCCGAATTCTACCAGAGGAACAAGGAGAAGCTGGTACCATTCCTTCTGAAACTATTCCAATCAATAGAAAAAGAGGGAATCCTCCCTAACTCATTTTATGAGGCCAGCATCATCCTGATACCAAAGCCTGGCAGAGACACAACCAAAAAAGAGAATTTTAGACCAATATCCTTGATGAACATTGATGCAAAAATCCTTAATAAAATACTGGCAAACCGAATCCAGCAGCACATCAAAAAGCTTATCCACCATGATCAAGTGGACTTCATCCCTGGGATGCAAGGCTGGTTCAACATTTGCAAATCAATAAATGTAATCCAGCATATAAACAGAACCAAAGACAAAAACCACATGATTATCTCAATAGATGCAGAAAAGGCCTTTGACAAAATTCAACAGCCCTTCATGCTAAAAACTCTCAATAAATTAGGTATTGATGGGATGTATCTCAAAATAATAAGAGCTGTCTATGACAAACCCACAGCCAATATCATACTGAATGGGCAAAAACTGGAAGCATTCCCTTTGAAAACTGGCACAAGACAGGGATGCCCTCTCTCACCACTCCTATTCAACATAGTGTTGGAAGTTCTGGCCAGGGCAATTAGGCAGGAGAAGGAAATAAAGGGTATTCAATTAGGAAAAGAGGAAGCCAAATTGCCCCTGTTTGCAGATGACATGATTGTATATCTAGAAAACCCCATTGTCTCAGCCCAAAATCTCCTTAAGCTGATAAGCAACTTCAGCAAAGTCTCAGGATACAAAATCAATGTACAAAAATCACAAGCATTCTTATACACCAATAACAGACAAACAGAGAGCCAAATCATGAGTGAACTCCCATTCACAATTGCTTCAAAGAGAATAAAATACACAGGAATCCAACATACAAGGGATGTGAAGGACCTCTTCAAGGAGAACTACAAACCACTGCTCAAGGAAATAAAAGAGGATACAAACACATGGAAGAACATTCCATGCTCATGGGTAGGAAGAATCAATATCGTGAAAATGGCCATACTGCCCAAGGTAATTTAGAGATTCAATGCCATCCCCATCAAGCTACCAATGACTTTCTTCACAGAATTGGAAGAAACTACTTTAAAGTTCATATGGAACCAAAAAAGAGCCCGCATTGCCAAGATAATCCTAAGCCAAAAGAACAAAGCCAGAGGCATCATGCTACCTGACTTTAAACTATACTACAAGGCTACTGTAACCAAAACAGCATGGTACTGGTACCAAAACAGAGATATAGATCAATGGAACAGAACAGAGCCCTCAGAAACAATGCCGCATATCTACAGCCATCTGATCTTTGACAAACCTGACAAAAACAAGCAATGGGGAAAGGATTCCCTATTGCATAAATGGTGCTGGGAAAACTGGCTCGCCCTATGTAGAAAGCTGAAACTGGATCCCTTCCTTACACCTTATACTAAAATTAATTCAAGATGGATTAAAGACTTCAATGTTAGACCTAAAACCATAAAAACCCTAGAAGAAAACCTAGGCAATACCATTCAGGACATAGGCATGGGCAAGGACTTCATGTTTAAAACATCAAAAGCAAAGGCAACAAAAGTCAAAATTGACAAATGGGATCTAATTAAACTAAAGAGCTTCTGCACAGCAAAAGAAATCACCATCAGAGTGAACAGGCAACCTATAAAATGGAAGAAAATTTTCGCAATCTACTCATCTGACAAAGGGCTAACATCCAGAATCTACAATGAACTCAAACAAATTTACAAGAAAAAAACAAACAACCCCATCAACAAGTGGGCGAAAGATAGGAACAGACACTTCTCAAAAGAAGACATTCATGCAGCCAAAAAACACATGAAAAAATGCTCATCATCACTGGCCATCAGAGAAATGCAAATCAAAACCACAATGAGATACCATCTCACACCAGTTAGAATGGCAATCATTAAAAAGTCAGGAAACAACAGGTGCTGGAGAGGATGTGGAGAAATAGGAACACTTTTACACTGTTGGTGGGACTGTAAACTAGTTCAACCCTTGTGGAAGACAGTGTGGCGATTCCTCAGGGATCTAGAACTAGAAATACCATTTGACCCAGCCATCCCATTACTGGCTATATACCCAAAGGATTATAAATCATGCTGCTATAAAGACACATGCACACATATGTTTATTGCAGCACTATTCACAATAGCAAAGACTTGGAACCAACCCACATGTCCAACAACGATAGACTGGATTAAGAAAATGTGGCATATATACACCATGGAATGCTATGCAGCCATAAAAAATGATGAGTTCATGTCCTTTGTAGGGACATGGATGAAACTGGAACCCATCATTCTCAGTAAACTATCGCAAGGACAAAAAACCAAACACTGCATGTTCCCACTCGTAGGTGGGAATTGAACAATGAGAACACATGGACACAGGAAGGGGAACATCACACTCCAGGGACTGTTGTGGTGTGGGGGGAGGGGGGAGGGATAGCATTAGGAGATATACCTAATGTTAAATGACGAGTTAATGGGTGCAGCACACCAACATGGCACATGTATACATATGTAACAAACCTGCACATTGTGCACATGTACCCTAAAACTTAAAGTGTAATAATAATAAAATAAAAAAAAGAGAGTCTGCCTATTTTTTGAAGATTTGGAGCCAAGCATTGACTTCTCCTCCCTAGTTATAAAGGTCCTAAATGTCATTTTATTTCAATAAAAGACTTTTTCATCTAAATTGAAAATCTGTTATTCAATGTAGCAAGCTTCATTAATTGTCTTACCTATATCTGAATAACTCGCTGCAACTTCTCCATCAGCACTTGCTGCTTCACCTTGAACTTGTATGTTCTTTCATGAAACCTCATGAACCACCTTCTGGTAGTTTCAAACTTTTCTTCTGTAGCTTTCTCATCATTTTCAGCCTTCACATGATTGTAGACAACAGCTAAGTCCTGTTCTGGATTAGGATTGGCTTAAGGGAATGTTGTGGCTAGATTGATCTTTTATCCAGACCGCTAAAGTTTTCTCCCTATCACAATAAGCATGTTTCACTTTCTTACTATTTGTGTGTTCACTGGAGTAGCACTTTTGTTTCTTCAAGAACTTTTTTTGATATATATTCGCAACTTGGCAAACTGTTTGGCACAAGACGCCTACTTTTCAACCTAGCTCAACTTTCCACATGCCCTCCTCACCAAGCTTATTTCGAGCTTTTGATTTAAAGTGAAAGATGTGCAACTCTCCTTTTCACTTGAACACCTAGAAGCCCTCAAAGTATTATTAATTGGCCTAATTTCCATATTGTTTTGTGTTAGGGGAAAGAGAGACCCAAGGAGAGGGAGGGAAATAAGGGAAAGAGCAGTCACTGGGGTAGTCTGAACACACTGACATCTATTGATTAAGTTTGAAGACTTATATGGGCTCTGTCTGTTGTGCCCCCAAACAATTACAATAGTAACATCAAAGATCACTGGTCACAGATCACTATAACAGATATAATAATAATTTTAATCTTTGAAATATAGTGAGAATTACCAAAATGTGACATGAAGACACAAAGAGTGTACATGCTGTTGGAAAAATGGCACTGATAGACTTGCTTGACACAGGGTTGCCACAAGCCTTCAATTTGTAAAATGCAACCTCCGCAAAGCACAATAAAGCAAAGTACAATAAAAAGAATTATTCCTGTATTCATATCCATTCAATAAATATCCGTTAAGTGGATAAATAAACTGTGTAATGACAAGTACTTACTCAGTATATCTAATATAAAACACAGATCATAGTAGTTTTTAAATTATAGTCATTTAGTGAGTTTATACCTTAGACTGATCAGGTAAAAATATATATTTACAAATTCAAAACAATAGTTATATGAGACTTTATAAGATTATCTGAAAATACACATCAAAAATGCCACTAAGATACCTTTTTTAAAAAAGCAGCGAACAAAGGGAAGAAAAGTAAAAAAGGCTCATCCAACCCCAAAAGAATAAAAATCAATGTGAACTGAACTTGTGGGGGGAGGGGGGAGGGATAGCATTAGGAGATATACCTAATGCTAAATGACGAGTTAATGGGTGCAGCACACCAGCATGGCACATGTATATATATGTAACTAACCTGCACATTGTGCACATGTACCCTAAAACTTAAAGTATAATAATAAAAAAAAATGGCCCAAAATAAATGCAATTCATATTTACACAGGATCTTTTTGAAGTTTCTGTAACATATTAGTGTTCTTCAGTAAGTAGCAATTCGTTAATCATTCCTTATGCTCATTAAAACACTGTTGGCTTCTCTTATGCAGCTCTACTCATCAAATAAAATTTTACAAAATATATAGGCAAACCAATCAAACAAATAAACAAAAAAGCCAATATCCCTGGAGTAAGAATATAATGCTATAATATTCGTCTTATACATATATGCCCATATTACTAATAAAGATTGAGAAAAATTTTGACACTAAGACATTCTCAATGTCTTGGAAAATGGATCATCAATAAACGCTCATTCAAATCAAAAGTTTATTACTTCTGTAAATTATTAGAAATATTTGTTTAGATTTTTTATGTTTTGGTAGGCTTCTTGACTTGTATTATATTTTTATCGAAAAATATTCCAAGAAATACCCAAGTTCATGCATCTCAGACTCTATAGAGAGATAAGGTATGATATCCCCTAGTGTAAGTAAACTTCTGCAGTATATTTTAACTTAGGGAAACGTTAGAGATTCCCATTTCCAATTATTTTAAAGTTCTAAGATATATAAAAATTAAAAATATTTAATATTTATAATGTTTTTCTAGTAATTAATAGAAAAGCAGAAAGTTTTAAATAAAATATTTTTTAAATTTTTTTGTTATTGTTAATTTTGGGTGCAGTTGATTCATAACATTATAACGTCACTCCTGGTAATGTCTCCCAAATACATAATTCAAGAGGGTAAAAAAGGCCGGGCTCGGTGGCTCATGCCTGTAATCCCTGCACTTTGGGAGGCCGAGGCAGGCGGATCACAAGGTCAGGAGATCGAGACCATCCTGGCTAACACGGTGAAACCCTGTCTCTACTAAAAATACCAAAAAAAATAAGCCGGGCGTGGTGGCGGGCACCTGTGGTCCCAGCTACTCGGGAGGCTGAGGCAGAAGAATGGCGTGAACCCGGGAGGCGGAGCTTGCAGTGAGCTGAGGTCGCGCCACTGCACTCCAGCCTGGGCAACAGAGCGAGACTCAGTCTCAAAAAAAAAAAAAAAAAAAAAGAGAGAGTAAAAAAGCATTATTTTATAATGTATGGAGTGAATCAGATTATGTCATATAAGATGTCTCCTGCCTTCAAGAGTATAATATAAATTAAAATATGCTAAATATTTGTTGAAATAAACACAATGGAGGTGTGTTTAGAGCATTATAGATAACATAAGCTATAGAAACCAACCTCATTTTAAGTGATAGTGAAACTTGGTGTATATCTTGAAGCATAAGAAAGAGTTGGCTTTGTAGATAATGGCTTAAAAGTCATTCCAGGAAATGAGAAGATGTATACAAAAGCACGAGAGCGTGAATTCTAGAACTGATCTGACTGGGGACAGATAGAAAGATGAGGGCCATACACCAAAGGGCCTTTTACACCATCAAAGTCATCAACTCTCTTCCAAAAATTTATAACGGGATAAAAGCAGGAAAGTAGCCTGAGCAAATTTGCATTTGAGAAAGATGAATGTGGTATCAAAGTAAGGTTACTTTTTTTTTTTTTTTGAAGAGAGAAATACTGATGAAGGAAAGATGAGTCTAAACCTAGTTAAAAAGAAAAAGAAAATGTTTACACAAGGTATAAAAAGGGACTACACCAAGGAATTTTTAGTATGGAAGGGTCAATAAATTTTGAAGATAAGTATAGGGTAAAATGAACTAGAATTGGTAAAAATGTATAAGCTGGAGGTTAATGAAAGGGAAGAAAGGAATAAACAGATGTTTTGGACTTGGGAAATTGCACAGTGTCTCCTGCTATTCACCAAAATGAATAACTCAGGAGAAAATTTCAGATTTACAAGGTGAGGGATCAGTAGAGTAAATGATAAGTTCAAGGTTAGAAATAATTAAGTTTAAGGTAGTATGAAATGCCTATGATTTGTTTCCACAATACTATCACAAATAAAGTTCTGCTGGTCAAAAGATGTTAGGCTAAATTCAACAATCAGTTGTTTCTTCTCATAAGACAGTGGGTTGGCTGAGGCATTCTGCTGATTTGGGCTGGGGCTGGTTGATCTTAGCAAGGTTTTCTCCTGATCTGTGGTCAGCTAGGGACTTGGCTAGGGAATGGCTGAATTTAAAGACTGTTTGCAATTACAACTGCTCACCTCTCCATCTTTGACAATACCTTTGTACCACTTCCAATATCTAGTGTATGGTGAAGATGAGGCACCGGTGTTATGTAGATAAAAAATGTTCAAGTCTGTTTTATTAGCTATCATATCTACTAGACTGTAAAAATCATTTATTGTGATGATAGAAAATTAATATAAAAGGTAACTGGGAGTCAGATGGTAAAATCCTCAATAATTGTGAATTTATTATATAATGTATAGCAAATAAAATTAAAAATTAGAATAACAAACTACTATAATTACAGTCATGTAAATAAGTACAAAAGCAGCTAAAATTGGACAAAATTTTTAAAAGGAAAGTATCTTTTTGAAGTAAATGTATTAAAATTGTGGGTCAAAATGCTTAATTATTTTAATGTTATGACAACAAAAATATAACCTTAAAAATAATATATGAATTTTTTTAAATATAAAAATTTATGTTAAAAATAAAAATGTAAACGGCATAGTTTTACATAGATATAGAAAATTCACACTTTATAGGATGCAAACTTAGGTCTTTACATGTAATTAAGAATAGCTGATGGAAAAGTTTATCTCTACAGAGAAATAAATTTTTCACCTCTTTATCTGAAAGAGTGTTTTTTTTTTTAATAAAATTAGTTTAAAGCACTTAGAAGATGGGAATAGAGTGTGGGAATTTTAGCTCAAATCATAGATCAAAATCAACCATTAATTCATTTTTATCAAAATTCTTTAGAAGCTAGAGTGACTTCCTCAAACCAGTAACATTCACTTTAGATTTTTCAATGCATTTTTAATTTCAGGCCAATATCGTCTACCTAGAAGAATTCTTTGCTCTTAACTTTTGTTTTGAAAATCACCCAAGATCCACTTAAAGAATTATTTATATTAATATCCTGCAAAATCTATTTTTAATATTACTCTCGTCAGCAAGATAAGTTATCACTGAGTGTTTTCCATAGCTTTATGCAGGCAAGAGAAAAAGTAAGTGAAAATATTTGAAACACAAAAGAAAGGAACACCCAGTGCTCCATATGAGCTTCCTACTGACTTTCATTACATGGTAGAAAAAGCCAAACTGAGATGACTTTAAAACTTTACTAATAGTCTGATTTTTGACATATCTTTTCATTTTATCGAAGTGAAAGTGTTCCACAGTAATATTAAAATCTACATTCACAGCGTTTTTGTGAAAATTAAATAAGCATATAGTCTACAACATAGTACAGTTTCTGGCATACAAAAGACATGCATTCAGTGGGGTCTTGCCACCACAGGAATCCAATTTAACTGAAATTGGTCTAATGATGTGGTACTAGCGGCATACTTCACCTCGGCTACCATCACTATTGCTGTCCCTACTGACGTCAAGGTCCTTAGCTGATTAGCTACACTGTACTGTGGTAACATCAAATGATCTCCCGCAATATTCTGAGCCCTAGGATTCATTTTCGTTTCCAAGGTAGGAGGTTTAACCAGCACTGTACTAGCTAATTCATCACAAGATATTGTCTTACATGACACATATTATGTTGTAGCCCATTTCCACTACGTCCTATCAATAGAAGCACTATTCGCCATTACAGGAGGATTTGTCCACTGATTCTCCCTATTTTCAGGTTACACACTTAATCAGACCTATGCTAAAATCTACTTCACCATTATATTCAAAGGTGTTAATTTAACCTTTTTTTCCACAGCACTTCCTTGGCCTATCCGGTATGCCCTGACGTTACTCCTTATCCTGATGCATACAGCTGCATGAAAAATTATCTCATCCATAGGCTCATTTATCTAACAACAATTATACTACTCATCTTTATAATCTGAGAAGCTTTTGCTTCAAAACGGAAAGTGCTAACAATTGAACAATCATCTACTAATTTAGAGTGACTTTATGGCTGTTCACCACTTTACCACACATTCAAACAACCAACCTACATGAAAACCTAAACGAGAAAGGAAGGAATCAAACCTCCAGAAACTGGTTTCAAGCCAATCCCATACCCTCTATGACTCTCTCGATAAGATATTAGTAAAATTATTATATAACTTTGTCAAAGTTAATTTATAGGTTAAATCCTGTATGTCTTAATGGCTCATCCAGTTCAATTAGGCCTTCAAGATGCCACATCCCCTATTATAGAAGAACTACTCACTTTCCATGGCCATGCTCTCATAATTATTCTCCTAATTAGTTCCCTGGTCCTATACGTTATTTCCCTAATACTCACAACAAAATTAACTCATACTAGCACCATAGATGCCCAAGAAATCAAGACTGTCTGAACTATTTTACCTGCAATTATCTTAATTTTAGTTGAGATACAGTCATGTGATGTGGATTTTCAGATTTCCCAGTGGTGATATGTGTTTGGAGGTAGGTTTTCCCTCCTCACACTTTGGGAACTCATGGTTTTTCTCCTGTTTCACAAAATTTGCAGTGGTGTGCCACTTTTTTCAAAGTATCTGTGAATTCTTTAGGTTTTCCTGGTATGTGCCTGGGGTGGTTCTTGGAGCAAAAGATCATGGTGTGAGTCTCCACATGCTGTTCAGTCCATCCATGTGAGAGCTGCACGTTGGCCCTGTCTCCTATCCACCATGTCTCCGATCTGCCATCTTCGTCCTATCTCTATGTATTTATATTTAACACGTTAAACCTAAAAAAAGCATCTGGCCATTTCAGACTGAAAAGTACCTTCATTTAAAGAGGAACCAGTCATAATACTTTCAGCTTCAATTTCAGAGGAGCATATGTTAAGAAACAAGCCTGCTTACACAAAATGTTAATATAAGAATAGAAAATAGGCCATGCACGGTGGCTCATGCCTATAATCCCAGCACTTTGGGAGACCAAGGCAGGCAGATCACAAGGTCAGCAGATCGAGACCATCCTGGCTAACAAGGTGAAACCCCGTCTCTACTAAAAATACAAAAAAATTAGCTGGGTGTGGTGGCGTGCACCTGTAGTCCCAGCTACTCGGGAGGCTGAGGCAGGAGAATGGAGTGAACCCGGGAGGGAAAGCTTGTAGTGAGCCAAGATCACACCACTGCACTCCAGCCTGGGCAACAGAGGGAGACTCTGTCTCAAAAAAAAAAAAAAAAAAAGAATAGAAAATAATCTGCATGGATGTAGTATTGAACCAACACTTCTATACACAAACCAAATATTATTCATCATTCATCAGTTTTAGCAATTTTTCTTGCTGACAGTCCAAACATCAGCCAGACCACTACCAGCAAAGACCAATCACTCTGTTTTGATATGTGAGTTTAGAGCTATTTGCTATCTTTTGTATACATTCCCTGAATATTTGTCTTCATAATATATGAGAAATATATGATGTCATAATTCCTTTTGGGATTCACTATTTGAGCTCCACTTTTCCATTCAGGAAACTGGAATCATAAATGGAAAAAAAAATTACTATGTAATTAAGCTTCTAGCATGTGCTGGACACTGTCCTAGATAAATAATTGTCTCTTCAATCCTGAGAATGAAGCTTTATTGACCTCGTCCACACTGTTGGTTAGTAAGTGACATTGATCAAACAGTTTTGCAGTTTAAACATTATACATTTGTTCATAAAATAAAAATAAATGAATATATAACATTTGAATTTTCTCAGATTCAAAAGATGGTACAGACAAATTAGGTCTTGAATTCCACTTTGTTATCCTGATGTTTTTTACATATTCGTTTCCATCTATTGCTTTCTAAATAGAATCCCCCTATAAATGTCCAATATCATTACAACTATTGTTATAAACAAAAAGTGAATAAAGAGCAAAGGAAAAATCATATGTTTCAATCATATGGTTAAATGAAAGACAAAAAAACCTCATGTTACAACAACAGTGACTTAGGTGAAACCGAAGCTACACTGAGTAAGAGGTTTAGATTAATGTGTGATATTCCAAATCTAACTCAGATGTTAATAGAATTGTGTGGGTTTTAAAAATTTTTTTATTTAAACAAAAAAAGTTCCATGTACAATGTGTACAACAAGAAACAATAAAATTTGTAAACATGCTAATACTAAACAGAGTCTTTGATTTTTGGAGTTTATTTTGACAGTATTGTTTTAATGGCTTTTCCTAAGTATGCCTCATCTTATTTGTCTAACATTGCCAGGTTTTGAAAGACTTCTGTTTTCTCAGTCCTACCAAGAGTTAAATATTAAGGTTTTCTTCATATATTTTAACTTCATAAAACACTCACTTAAAGGAGAGAGAATGCAAGCTCGTTATTATAACATCAGTTAGTTGCTGATATGTCAGATCATTCATATAGTCAACTATGAGTATTGCAGGAACACAGCAAACAGGAGTTAACTTATAAATTTTGCATCTGGACATTGTAAAAGAAAAAAACTTGTTTTTGTTTTTTGTTTGTTTTACGTAAATCTCCAGAAGATTCCCAAGGACAGCAATATTTAAAATAACAGAACTTTCCTTAGCTAACAATCAGATAAAGTATCCAGTTATCAAAAATCGACGTATGCACGTCTCTGCTTTATAAACAGATTGAAATAAATCATTAAATTTTATTTGAAATTAATTTGGAACACTTCTGTAAATACTGGCAGTTGGATGTGACAGAGTTAGCTGTAACTGCAGATACAGATAGTGGAAAGAATATCATCCTTTTTCCTCAAAAAACATAACAGGAAATAAATTGTTTTGCTAATTTAATTTGGGAGATGTTTAAATGCATAACCTCCAGTGAACTTTGCAATTCAATAAATAAAATAACATAAAATGATTTACTTGATAGATTAGGATCATCCTGCTTTTTAATTCCTATAATTGATAGATTATAAAGGAGAACCCTTTTTCAACATTTCAAAAACTTACCTTGGACCAATATATGAGGTACTTACAACCAAGTCAACTAAAGTACAAAATCATCTGTAGCTATCTTTATATATATAAAGGGATAAATATATATATATATCTTTATATAGATCTGTATATATCTTTATATATATCTATAGCTATAGCTATATAGATATATATATTTAGATTAGTTCCTAAAAACACTATCCAGTAAAAGGTAGTGGGAATGTTAAATTTTACACATTTTGACAAATTGTTCTATAAAATAATTATAAAAGATTAACTCAACATAGCATACTAAGCATTTGCTAAGCATATTCATCCCACACAGTGTTACTTTAAAATAATTATATTTTAAAATATAATAAATACACAATAGTACTAAAAATAAGAAAGACTCATAATATTGAAGAGATCATCAAAGAGGAATCAGCTCTAGAGGAAAAATAATTAAATGATATCCCAAATTATTTGCAATAGAGAATGCAGTAGTCAATGGCAAAGACAGAGATACTTCAGTTTAAAGTTAATTAATAGTTGTATAATGAGTTGCAGAGGTCCCTGGAGTCAATGTTAGGGCGATTACTTGAAAAATTGCATTGAGAATTAATGCAACTATATTCTGCTGCTTTGTCTCTTGCTGAGAGTATTGTTACATACCAGAGTGAGAAAAACAGGCCAATTTATCTGTAATAACCCATCAGGATGTTGCATACCCGGAAGACAAATGATAGGAATGTTTTATCTGTCCTGACCTCTCTCTATATCAAGTAGTCAAGTCCTAGCAATACATACCTAGGACAAATGATACGAAAACATGAGTACTAAATTTTGGTGATCAATGTAACAAACAAAAGACATAACACCTGAAGAAGCAGGTTTAATAGAACAAAGCACTTAATGTAGAATTAGCAATGTAAATGTTCAAGCCAAAGGTTATGAAAGAATGCAAAATGCAATCTACACTAAAATGTAAGCTCCCCACTAGGACGTAAATTCTATAAAAGCAATTATTTTTCTTGTTTTGCTGACTTGTATTCCCAGAGCTGATACTTAGTAAATTCAATAAATATAAATGTTTATTGAGTGAACATATGTAACATAAAACAAAGGGATGGAATGTAGAAAGAAAAGTTAAAAAAAAATCTACCATTCATCTCCAAGTACTGTTAGAAGGGAAAATGTCCTATTGAACCCCAAAAGACCTCTCAGAACAAAAAAAGGACATAAAATCTTCTGAGGAATATTAACAAGTTTAATGAGTATAAGATGTTTGAGTATTCCGATTAACTCTTTTTAATTATCAGGCAATTCATTTCTATCCAAAAAAACAGGGAGTTCATTTTTTCAAATATTTTTGGATCACTACCCAAATACCACCATGTCACAAATCAGAACCAGAAGATATCAACTGCATGAGTCACACATCCCATGTTATCTGACTAGAATGCAATTAATTAGGAAATGAACAATTAAAAGAGAGCTCGAAATATCCAAACACTTAGAACTACGAATGTCTACATAAATTACTATCTTTATTACAGAGGAAAGCAAACAGTAACTGAAAACTAATTAAAAATAAGCTAAAATGAGAACACTGCATATGAACTATGAAATCTGTCCAAATCAGAACACCTAGGGAAATTTTATGCATACGTTAGGATATAGAAGACTTTAAATTATGTATATTGTCAAGATCCTAGAATAAGAGCAAGAGATGTAGAAGGGTGCTATTAAATGAGATTTTCATTTAACTCTTTCAACCATTGAACATGTAACATCTTCCAGACACTAAAAAAATACTGGCTCACAAAATACAATGGCTACCAAAACCAGATACCATTTGTGACCTCAGTCAGCTTAGAGTTGATTAAGGAAAACAGATACTAAAGTGGCAAACAAAAATATACAAGTAAATAAATAAATAATAAAACAAAACAGATATCACAAAGAACATTCCATGGGAGAGTTTCACTTAGTAGAGGAAAGATTTTTCTTAAGAAATTGTGACAAGTCTGAGATCTGAAAAGTGTGTAGGTGTTAATTAAGGGAAGTTGAAGGGACAGGAATGCAGGAAGAAAGGAGCAGTAAGTCCAAAGGCGCTGGGTTGTGGAGGGATGTGACATATTACAGGAACTAAAGGAAGGCCTGTGTTGTTGGAAGACAACATAGCCCAAGGAGAAGCTTTAGAGAAAGTTAAAGAAAAATTACAAGGATTCTTTTTTTTTTTTTTTTTGAGACGGAGTCTCGCTCTGTCGCCCAGGCTGGAGTGCAGTGGCGGGATCTCGGCTCACTGCAAGCTCCGCCTCCCGGGTTCACGCCATTCTCCTGCCTCAGCCTCCCAAGTAGCTGGGACTACAGGCGCCCGCCACTACGCCCGGCTAATTTTTTGTATTTTTTTTTAGTAGAGACGGGGTTTCACCGTTTTAGCCGGGATGGTCTCGATCTCCTGACCTCGTGATCCGCCCGCCTCGGCCTCCCAAAGTGCTGGGATTACAGGCGTGAGCCACCGCGCCCGGCCAAATTACAAGGATTCTTGACTCTAGCAGGGGATCCAAGAAGACTCAGCTTCCACATCAGATATAACTATATCATTTACATTCTTAGGTCTAATCCAATGAGACCAAACACTGACACATCAAGTCATGCCAAGCAAATTTATTACTCACAGAAAGGCAGCAAGGACAAACAGAAGCCTGGGATTCATGGTGAGCAGCTCCCCCAAGGCTCAGGAAAGATCCCCAGTAAAGAGGAAGTCTCATCTGGTAATGCTGCACATCACGCTGCAGCTGAGGGACTCTGAAAGCATTCTACTCTCAGTTTTATACTGGGTTGCTGAACACAGCATTGCAAGACATCCCATTCTGGCAGAAACAAGGACACAGCCTGAGTTGTTTCAGACATTTCCTCCTTATTTCATAATGTAGTATCCTACAGTTATTCTGAGAAACAAGCAGGAGTGGGGCTGAGCCAGATCAGCCAAGGTCATCTTGGAAACCTGCCTTCCTGCACAAGTTCATGTAGTGTCTTTAGTTCATGTTCATGATGGTGATCTTTACCTTAAAAGCAGTGTGAAACCACAGAAATGATGTAAGCCAAGGAAGAGGTATGATGTGGTCAGATCAGAATTTTGAAACAGGTCCTTCTAACTGCATATGGTAAATAGATTGAGGGGTGGGTTAGGTAGACTGAGCATAGAGCCAGTTAGGAAACTACAGTAATCCATGTGAGAAAACACAGGTGCTTTTCTGGAATGACAATGGGGGAGATAAAATGATCCAGGCAAAGTTGAAGGATATTTAACTGTTAAGATCAATAAAAGCACAAGCAATAAAATAAAAATCACAGACAAAAGATTCAATCAAAAGCTCTAAATAATTAGAAATAAGAGATATGTACTTTAATGAGAAACCATTTTCACATGTAAGATTGGCAAGCATTAAATGTTCAATATCAGCTACTGGCAAGTATCTGACATGCTAAGTGAGAATATAAATCAGTACAGATACTCACAGAGAGTAATCTGAAAGCATCAGTTAAAATTTTAAATATGCATTTTCTTATACCCAGCAATTCTATATCATGGTACAACCAATGGATGCATTTGCACATGTGAGAAGGAGCCATGTGTAGAACATTCATTGAAGTATTATTTGTTAATAGCACACACACAAAAACAAATGAAATTAGCTTAAAGTTTCATTAAAAGGAGTTTGGCTAAATAAGAGACAGACACACATAAATTTAATTAGAATCAGGAAATATTTTCACTGGATGGAGAACAGGTTGAGTGCCATAACAATGAGCTGCAAAACATGTGGAGTGTTATAAGCATGAGGCCTAGAATAATCATTTCTGGGTTCGAATTTATTCGCTTTCTTTTTTTCCCCATGATATTCTCTACTTTTCCTTTGTCATGGTAACCAATGTCTAGGTAATTTTTGATATTTGTTTTTCTGTTTAGACTGTAATCTCCAAATAGCAGAAATCCTGTCTTTCACTGTTGCATCCCTACCACCTAGACCTGTACCAGGCACATTATATTTAGTCAGTATATGTTAACTATTAAATATATGTAAATGCTTGCATAAATGAACAAATTTATGAATGAATAAATAATCTTACTTTTGCCACTAACTTTCAAGCACACACATTTTTCAAGATTCATTTCTCTCAAGATTCCTCCTATAGAAATAAAGGCATTGGTATTAGATTTCTTAGTGCCTTTTCTACTTTAAAATTTTATAATTCGAAGATGTTGCTTGTGTTGTCTCAAAAACTTTTTGCGAGGTTTATTTTTTTTATCGTAACATGATTTTAACTCTTTTATATTTCCACAGACAAGATGTAACCTACACAGTATTTCCTATGTTTGAACTTATGCGTAAGAATCTATGTTTAAATAAAGCATGCTCAAATGTTGCTATATTACCTGCTTCTAATAATATTTTAAATTATTTAATAAATCCATAGGCAAATAAAATCTCATAAGATTTTTAACATAAATGCACAGTGGAATATATAGTAGAGAAGATCTGAAATATCCAAGGTGATCAGAGCGAGGATATCTTATAAAAATGGGCAACTGTGGCAAACAGGGACTGAGCAGAAGTTTTGGTTACTTTAGTTTCTGTGTTACTTTATGTTAATATGATCATAAAATAAAATTGGAGAGATGCTCCCAAAAACCTGTTTAATATTTTGGGATTGTGAGAGCCTATGCTTTCTTGTCTAGTTCACCATCCTATAACCTTGTAATCCCATAATACCACTCCAGACCTCCATACATGACATGAGTGAGTGGGAAGCACTTCAAACCAATTATGTAGTATCTTTCAGCTAAATGGCTCACTGGCACAGTCAAATGTCTCATTTTGCACTTCATTACATATTGGCCAACTGGAGCCTGAGAGGAACACTAATTAATGTAAACTTGTTCTCCAAGTCACAAGACTCTGAAGGCTTATTGGTTTATTTCTCTCTAAATACAAATGGAACATAAAGCATTCGGTCTGTCAGTATAGTTTCACATCACATTACACCATGGTGACATCTCAAATCATTCTAACCTTTTCACTGAAATATTTGTTTGCCTCTTCTCTAAAACATTTTGTCAACACATATGAATATACACTCAAACAATTATATACAATATATAGTAAAAATATAAAATCACAGAAAAATTATTATTTATAAAAAATTAACTTTATTTCTTTATGATGTACTCCTCTCCCCCTCCATATCAGAAGGATTTTATATCCCTACTCCTTTTATTTTTGGGTTGGTTATATGATGATAAGGTTTTACATCCCAAATCCTTTTATTTTGAGGTTGGTTATATGATGATACGGTTTGGCTGTGTACCCACCCAAATCTCATTTTGAATTGTAGTTCCCATAATCCCCACATGTCGTGGGAGGGAACAGATGGAGATAATTGAATCATGGAGGCAGTTTCCCCCATGCTGATTCTTGTGACAGTGAGTGCTTTCTCCAGCAATCTGATGGTTTAATAAGGGTCTTCCCCCTTTGCTGGGCACTCATTCTCTCTCCTGCCACCTTGTGAAGAAGAAAGTGTTTGCTTCCCCTTCTACCGTGATTGTAAGTTTCCTGAGGCCTTCCTAGCCATGCAGAACTGTGAGTCAATTAAACCTCTTTCCTTTATAAATTATCTAGTCTCATGTCTTTCTTTATAACAGTGTGAGAAGGGACTGGTACATATGACTTGCTATGTTTAATGCAATGTGAGTGGATGTGACATGTGCCAGCTCCAAGCAGAATTATTCATTGTCATTGAATTGTTGGCCACATTCCCTTTTCCTTCTTCTGCTAATCTATCCTCAAAACTAGAGAGAAAAAGAAGTAGAGTGTAGCCTGAAATCAAAATGTAAGGTGAGAAAAAAAAAAACTTGTGTTTATAAATCACAGAGGTTCTGGTGTTATTTCTTAGGTAGCTTTGTGTCACAGAAGATAACTAATACAGTGTGTAAATGGAACAAATTATATGAATCAATACATTAGTAAATGTTGTGTTATGGAAGTAAAATTTGTAATTGAAGTTTAAGATCTTTAAACCAGCAAATATTATTTTCCTACAGAATTTTGAAAAGAATCCTCCAACATTGATTTGATGAGTTGTTGTTGTTGTTTTAATGGTAAAGACAGCTGGTATTAGGTTTTTCATTAAAATCTTAGTTATATTTGTAAATATAATCACTGATTCATTTATTTTCAATAAATGATTTCCTACTTTGGAGATCATTTTCTTTCTGTGGGTAGATCACAGAGACTGTCGCCGTATGTTTCTGTAACTGAGCATTTCCAACCCTGAAAGGGATTGGCCAGGAGTTTTCTGAGATCCCAAATACATATTTAGTTTAAAATTCTCATGTAAGTGAAAAATATAAAAATGGAAGGCAAGAAAAAGTACCTAATAGGTCTGTGGCTTTGGCTGAAGAGGTTTCAAAGCAGAATTTAGATAGGTTGAATTATGGTTTATTAGGTGCTCTGAATTAAGTGAGTTTAGAAAATAATTTGGTCTTTTCACAATCAGAGATGAAAGAGAAGACAAAGATAAGAAATTCCATGGTTTTCAGAGTTGAAAGAGGCAACTTTTTGCATTCTCGTTTATAAAAGACTCTTGAGTTAAGACTCAGCCTCTGGGCAAAGAATAAATATGGTATCATTGCATTAAGTTGGGCCCCAATACGGTAAATCCTATCTGTTAGACAAAATGGCTCAGAAAAAGAGATCCAGCATATGGTTAGATGGAAGTCTGATAAGCTCAAAGTACCCTTAATTAAGTCTAGAGAGAGGCATATAGCAAAAAGAATTGGTGTTGCAATTGGCATATGGAACTGACTGGCATCAAGTAGTTTGAGTTTTTTGAGGGAGCTCAAACTACTTGGGGGAGAAAATTTTCCTATTATAAAGTAAGGGAAATTATAACATTTTCCCGCAGGATTTCAGAAACAATTAGGACCAGTGACCGTTCTGCCCTCTCCTGCTTCTGCCCTTTTCTGAATGTGAGTATTCATGGGTAATGTTGCTCCCTTTCTACTACTGTATGTCTGTATTTTGAGTATTTTTAACTTACCTATCTGTGGATAACTTGTATTTTCAGTAGATAGATTCCTTGATCAAAAGGAGTTAAATACCAACCTCAGATTGATCATGAGATCCGGGACTTTGAGTCTAATGTGTGATTTAACTTTCTGGGTTTCTTGGAGAAGATACAAGTGTATTTTGTTCACAGGAGGAAAATAAATATTTGAGATAAAAAAGAAGCCAGGGGTAGAGTATATTATTTGTTCACAATCATCTATTTATTTTTCTACCTTACCATGCTGTTATATAAGCAGAATGTATTTTCCTGTTCCTTCACTGGATTTGGCCATGTGACTTGTTTTGGCCAGAAGAATGTGATCAATAATGGGACACACCGTTCCCTAGCAGAACCTTTAAATGCTCTTGCATGTCATGACTCTGTCCTCTTTTAAACTTCTGTCCTGGACCATAAGAACAGCCAGGGTCACTGTGTACCAAAATAAAAAAGCCAAGTAGAGCAAACCGAAGCCAAGCTTAATCCTAGAACGGCCCAGGAGAACCAAGCAAGAGCCAATCTGTAGCACTCAGGTCACATAAATAAGTAATATGTGTTATTGTAACAGATTGAGATTGCCGGTGCCTGTGGCCAGAAAGGGAGTTTCATTTACAACTTCTCTCTCCAATCCCTATTCTTTCACCAGCCGCTCAAATTTTATCCTTTCTTTCTCAGTCACTTTGAATGTGTTTTCTTTCTTCCTTGAATGCACTGCCCATATTTTCATCCCACATCCACTTTCCATACAGATTCTTCACCTCTCAAGTCAAAATCCACTTCCTCAGGAAAGCCCTTCTTGATCCTCTGGGTTAGGGTTTTTCCCTGTTACATTTCATCCTGTCACGTATATTTTCTTAAAACTAAACCCAATTTATATTTTTATGTTTTCTGTTATGCAATTATTTGAAAAACACTGGTCTCTCCAACTACACTGTAAACTATGTAAGAGTAGGAATTATGTCTTATACTCAGTCAGCATCTGAAACAGTGTTTGGTAACTAGAAGAAGTTCAATAAATATTTATCTGAACAAATACATGTTAACAAGTTATATAAATAAATTTAAGCCTCACATTCTATGTAACTACTTATGTCTGGATATTGTTCTTGAGGATATAACTAATTTGTTTCCATTCATTGTGTAAACTTGAAATTAGAAAAGTGATTTACTGATAATTCCCATGAAATACTTCTCCCATTCAACGCTGTGCATGCGCCTGCTACCCAACATGCTACTGTTTCTTGATACACAGTTTCCTGTTTCCTGATGCTTAGGACTACCTTGAATAAAGCCTTTGGGACACTAGAATGAATACTGAGATGAAACATAGATGGATCTTTTTGTAGAATTCTGCTCTAATTACCCTGCAAATATTAGAATGTTTGCAGGATAATATTTAAATTAAATTTTACTCTCAAATTATTTCATTTTTCAAAGAAAACCTTTTTCTGTTAAAAGCACACCTGAAATGTTCAAATAAAATCATTTTTGTGGTAAAGCAATTGCCCAGGGAAGTTTCTAAATAGAAGATAAGAAAGCAGTAGTCACTTTACTCTGAAAGGCATGTTCCAGAGATTTGTAAAATTTCTCTCCTCCTCTTTTACTGTGACACACCATAACTAAATTGTTTATCTTTTATGAGCTTCGATTTTCTCTTGGACAATATGGTGGTAAGGGGCTTAAACGTATGCTTCGTTATCAGAGAGCTATAAGGTTTTTTATTGGTTTCATACAAGTCACCATTATTAGTTGATCTTTAATAAAAATAACAGTAACTATTTCTTGCATTATTTTGAATATTAAATTACGTACCAATACATAGAACATGTAATATTTGCTAACACATAATTTTCTTTCAATGAATATTTTTCTTTATCATTTCCTGGAATCATTAGGATAACTAGATAAGACCCTTTAAACTGTGTCTAATGCAGAATTAATACGCAGTAAGCACTTTTCTCTCTTTTTCTATCAATCCAGTGTTACTTTATGTAAGGGATATTTACTATAAGTTTTATCTTTCTATTCGTTTTTACTTTAATAATTGTTTCATTGCTTATTTTTTAAAGTCTCAGAGAATGAGATTTGAATAATTTTATTTGCCATACAAGTTCAGTTTAAGTGTCTGATTTAAACCTTTTCTGGAAGCACCAGAATAAATCCTACACATGAGCCCTCCCATGTTTTCACACTGAAACATAAATTCCCAGAAGATCAAAATATGGCACATTTATCTTTGCAGACAATCAACATATCAATATGCCTAGAAGCAAAAGATAAATTTTCCCTGTGTTTGATCAATAGAGTAATAACTATAAGTGCTATGAATGAAGATAAAGCTATCTCCTCTATTTTCATATCCAACCACATTATTTGACTTGACCTCATCTGTGTCAGAGTATTCTATTACCTGACTACACATAAAGCAAAGAACATATTTCCTTTCATTGATTCTCAATTTCCTCATCATTAATTTCATTGACTGAGTAGCAGGCTTTGAAATTAAAGAAAAGTAAAGCTTAAACAGTGAACCCCAGTCAGTTTAGTATTCTTATCTTTTAAAAAATTATTTTAGCATTTTTTCATGAAAATGAAAAAGAAGATAAAAGAAAGAAAAGGCAAAACATACCTAATACTGAAATCCTCATTCTTGGAACAGTGCTTGATAATTATCAAATAACCTGTAAATAAGTAAAGTAAGATTTGTAAACAAAGCAATCAATACCCATACACTATACATTCACCAGAGAGTCAACAGAGAAATAAATATGTGTTGGTGGCCAATTTGTACCAAGACTGCGAAAAATACTGGAGATATCTAGATGAAAGGTCTTTCCCCAAGAAACATGTAACTAAGTGGAGGTAACATGTTAATTATTACAGTGGAGCTACAGTACTGCAATGGAAAGAGTGAGCGGAAAGCAGCTATCTCTGGAGAGGTTAGGAGCTACCTAGAGCTACCTGGAGAATGCAGAGAGTATTTTATTTACTCATTTTCATATTGTTCTTTCTCTTTTATTCTCAAGTCATATTCCATTCATTGTCATATTATTCTAATGGTTAACATTTAAGCTAATTATCTTATTGATAATAGTAATTAAATAATTTTAATAAGGATCACCTTTGACACAGGTTGATAAATCTTTATCCTACCTCTTATATTAGTCCTAATTAAGTTGAGCTTTTTTCTGATTAAATTGTAATTGATTTTACAGCTCATGAATTTATTGAAATGCATGTGTCTGATATTTTAATACTATAGTCTTCATGTTTAGAATAATATTATGTTTAATAAAAATGTGTTGAACAAATCAAAGCACTATATACCTTAAATTTCAGTGGAAGAGGATTTTTTTAAAAGTACAAAAATTGCAAAACACAGTAATAAGCTTGGTGAAAAGTATAAAACAAGGTGATGCAATAGAAAAAGAAAGTGGCTATTTTAAGTAGAGGAAATAAGGAAGGTCCTGAGGAAGTGGCAACTGATACCAGGCACGAACAGCTAGTTGCATGAAAATCTTGAGAAAGAGCCGTGCGAGTTAAAAGAAGAGCCTATTTAAAGGCTCTTAAGTTGGGAATAAACTTGGCAATTTGGAAGCATAGAAAGAAGGTAAGTATGTATGAAAAAGAGTAAGAATAGAAGAATATTATCTAATATAATGTGTGAAAAGTTGAATATGGGTAGATTATGGTAGGGTTTTGTAGGCTCAGATAAAGAGTGTGAAGTTTATTTTGAATTCAATACAGTGTCTTTGCTGCAATGGTTCTCAGCCAGGTAACAATTTTGCCTCCCAGGGTAAATTTGGCAGTGTGGACACATTTTTAGTTGATACAACTAGGAGGGAAAGGTGCTACTGGCATCTAGTGAATGGAAGCCAGGAATGCTGCTAAATATTTTACAAGATATAGGATCGTTCTTCACAACAAATAATTATCTGGCCTAAAAAGTCAATAGTATTGCAGTTTAGAAACCCTATTTAAGGAGATTGTAAAGAGATAATGATAAAGTAACAGTATCTAACTTACATTTTAATTAATCTGGATACTGGTTGGAAATTAAATTATAGAACACTGCACATCACACTCGAGTGACAACAGAGCTTTGTAGGGATCAAAGAAAAGAAAAGAAGATATAATAGCATTTATATCGATCACATATCTATGTAGTTTTATTTCTGAAAATATGACTTCACCTGTGTTGCACATAAATCCATCTAGTAAGTCATATTCTAAATTCTAATGCGTTTATATCCTCTTCACCTCTTACCTCTAAAAGCCTTGCAGCTTCAACAACTTCGACAGTAGAAAAGACAAATCCATCCATCATTAACAGATTATTTAAGATTTCAGTGTAATTCCATATCAACCTTACCCCCAGCCCCAATACTATTTTTTATTTATTTTGTTTTCTTCAGGATCATAATTAATAAAACACGATATTTCTTCCTGTGAGGATTTATATCACCAGAATGAGAATGAAGTGTGAAAGCCAAACACTCTCCATTAACTATTGTTTATACAGCATTTTTACTTGTCAAATGTTATTCACAGAAGAACAAAATATGATGGGGATATTTTTTCTTCTCCAATTCTAGGCAATTTGATTAAGTTGCTACACATTCATACATCATTCAGTGAAAAATAGTATTTGAACTAAAGCAAAAAAGACAGAAAATAATTTTGACAGTTCAGAAAACAACAGAGCTTCTAGGAATTGGGAATTTTGAAGGAATTTTCAAATCTGCCATGTTCTTTACTTCTAAAGCCACTGAAAAGTGATAGAGATTCTTTCATTCAAAGACCTGCGGTCACCACTAACCTGTGATGATTAATAGAAGTATGTCAGTCTGAATGTTTGCTCCTTTCAAAATCATCAATGAAACCTAATCACTAGTATGATGGCACTAGAAGGTAGAGTCTTTGGAAAGTGACGAGGTCATGAGGGCAGAGTCCTCATGAATTAGATTAGTGCACTTATAAAAGAGGCCCCAAAGAGCTGCCTTGACCCTTCCACCACGTGAGGACACAGCTAGAAGGTGCTATCCATGAACCAGAACGTGGGCCCTGAGCAGACACTGAATCTAACAGCATAATGATCACGGACTCTGCAGGCTCCACAACTATGAAAAATAAATTTCTGTTGTTTATAAGCCTTGTAGTCTATGACAATATGCCATCACAGCCCAGATAGATTAAGAAAACAGGCATTGTAGACAGCTACTCATTTAAATTTCAGTTCTACCATTCATTTGATTTTAAATGAAACACAGGTAAACTTCTTTGAGTCCCAGTTTGCTTTCCTATAAACTGAGAATAATATCCATTATTAAATAAGAAAATCAGACATGCGGTACATGCTGTTACTGTAACACCTAGGAGTTAGAAGATATCTTGTTATTCATATTTCTATTTGAATCATGTGGTCATTGTTGAATGGCCATGTTTTAATGAGTCAGGCACATTTTACTTAGCTAACTCTTCCTAAAATTGGAACTAAGAACTGATTTGAATGCTGCCCATCTCCTCCCACTTTATTTTTCCAAGCGAAACATAAATTCAGTCATATTTATGAGCCCAACCCTGATCCTCAGGTGCCTTGGGTTACATTACTGGGATCTACCAAATGGTCAGTTTCTATCTGCTCAGTTCACAATCACAGGAAAGAACAAACTCTCTTAGTTATTTGACAATGGCAGAGACCAAAGAGAGATTGGACTTTTGGATATATATGTCTACAAGAAACAACCAAAAGAACAGTGTATTCCCAAGAACAAATGACAATCGTATCACATAAATAAGTCAAAAGGAGGAGCTGAAGGGAATAAAATAGAAGGAAAATAAAAGTCAATCTTTATATTACTTATTCTGGGTTAAAAGTGTATGCATCAAAAATGTTTGATACGGTATTTGATTTAGTACTAATGAGTGAAGAGAATATTATTTTCCCATGTATAGACGAGAAAACTGAGATTATAGAGAGAGGTTAAATAAGTTGCTCACAAGTTTACATGTACAAAATATTAGAGCTTAAATTTTTACCTGTTTTGTCTCCATAAAAAGCCAATGATATCTCTACTAAAGTACATTTTCTTTGCCTTGTAGTGCTATGTGAAATGACTTGTCAGCTAAGCATGGAACTTAATGGTACAATATATATCATCTTCAATTTCAATCAAATACTTGAAATATAAATTTAGACAAGGACAAATAAGGTAATAATGCAGCTTAAACCAAAAGTATGGTTGTATAAATTACACATCAGCAGCCACCAGTTATGATATACAGCAGGTGATTCATTATAATTCAACTCACCCTTAAGATTTTAGGAAGAAGAATAAGGCAAATCTACCCTTAGCCTGTGTGGTACTCATTAAAATCACAACACTATTTCTTCTACAGAATACGTGGTAATGTTTTCTAAGGCTAGTCTGATCAATCTTTGATTTTTCTCTTTAGGAATCTTGGAATTTAAGTAGAGTTATAAATAAGTGAGAGTAGTTCCCTCAGTTCTCAAAGATTCATTATCTCATTTATAAGGAACATGTTTATTGGATGCTACATTCAACTATGGCTTTTCCTGAACTTTCCCTTTTTGAAAACACAAAAAGCATAAATCTTTATAAAAAGGAGCAATTAAATTGCTTGAACATATAACATGGCTGAAAAAAATTACAGGAAAGATTTTAAAGTACGATTTGTACAATTTGTAATATATTTTTTTTTTTTGTTTGTTTTTTTTTTTTTTTTTTTTTTTTGAGACGGAGTCTCGCTCTGTCACCCAGGCTGGAGTGCAGTGGCGGGATCTCGGCTCACTGCAAGCTCCGCCTCCCGGGTTCACGCCATTCTCCTGCCTCAGCCTCCCAAGTAGCTGGGACTACAGGCGCCCGCCACTACGCCCGGCTAATTTTTTGTATTTTTAGTAGAGACGGGGTTTCACCGTTTTAGCCGGGATGGTCTCGATCTCCTGACCTCGTGATCCGCCCGCCTCGGCCTCCCAAAGTGCTGGGATTACAGGCGTGAGCCACCGCGCCCGGCCAATTTGTAATATTTTTAACAGAGTTCTGGTATCTACCAATTTGTCCATAAAGAAAAATTTCAGTGAAATATTTTTACACATCTTGAATACAGACTTCCATTATATATCTTCTGAAACGGATAAGTGGCTTTGAATAATTTAGTGTCATATAATTTCTAGCAATCCTCATCCTTTAGGATATTGAGTTACAAATGAAGGCATACTTATATGCATACATATACATGTATACATATGTGAAAAGAGCAATCTCCTTCTTACAACTGTATATGTAAGTAGCCTGCAAAGTGTTGGGGTTGAGTCATTGGGGAATTAAGGAAGTAATTCAAACTTTCTATTTATTTATTTTTTTTTTTTGAGATGGAGTCTCGCTCTGTCGCCCAGGCTGGAGTACAATGGCACAATCTCAGCTCACTGCAAGCTCCCCCTCCCGGGTTCATGCCATTCTCCTGCTTCAGCCTCCCAAGTAGCGGGGACTACACGCGCCTGCCACCACGCCCTGCTAATTTTTTTTGGATTTTTTTTTTAGTAGAGACGGGATGGTCTTGATCTCCTGACCTTGTGATCCACCCGCCTCGGCCTCCCGAAGTGCTGGGATTACAGGCGTGAGCCACCACGCCCAGCCAGTAATTCAAACTTTCTAAGTTTCTTTCCCTCACTGTTCATTGTACAAGTTTGACAAGATAATACCCTCTGGCTTCTAACTGCCTGACCTTTAGGGTAGTTTCCTTTGCTGATTAATTTACTTTGTATAAGCCATCTTAGATCATCTCTATTTCCTAGTGCTATGGGAAAAACAAGGTAAAAATGATAAAAAAAAAAATAAGCATATGGAGTAATTTTTCATCCTATGAAGACTAGACAATAGCCAATAACTATTCCCTTGATTCAAAAGAAAATCAAACAACCCTCTCTTCCTCATCCCCGTGGAAAATTTCACCAGTAGTGTTATGGGATCCTTGGAGTGTCACTTCACCAGCTGGAAACCTCTGTGACCAGTGATGCCTTTGCCCAAGTTTTGCTGTGGCCTGCTGGGCTCATTCTGACAACTCTGCCTGGCAGGCTTTGGTTGGCTTGCACTACCAGCCTGGATCTCACACCTGCCAAGGGCGAGCCAGCTGGGGAGCGGTGAGGGGTGTGTAAGCGAGTGTGGGGTCCAGTCACTGAGCATAGCCAGGCATGCCAGCTGCTGCCATCGAGCAGGCAGCTTCAGATGCCAGCATGGGCACCAGCTCCTGTGAGGCCACAGCTGGACCAGGCATAGCCAGGAAGCAGGAAGCTTCCACAGCTGGCATCAGGAAGTGTGATGATGCCTGGAAGCTTGAGGACTCCAGGAACTACACAGCCCCAAAGACGGAGTCACAGCCCTGGCTCATGGAGCTCCCAGGTCTGGGCTCCCAGAAGGGTGGAAACTCTTCTCTCCTCTTTATCCACAACATGGTGAGCAAGTGGCATGTTTCAGCCCTGTTTGTGTTACAGCACATTTAGCCTCGCCATTCTGCAGGTCCTGAGTTCTTGTCCTACATCCAGGGAGAATGCGGTACACAGATGAGTGGAGGGTGAGCAAGACAAAGAGGAGTTTTATTGAGTGATAGAATAGCTCAGAGGAGACCCACAGTGTTCCAACCAATCAAAGCTACTGATGGCAGTGGCAGCCCATCTAAAGTGGCTGCTGCTGTGGCGCCAGCTGCAGTGGGGTACAGGGGCGGGCCGCAGGTCCTTAGGTGCAGACGCCCAGGTGGGCAGTCCCTGGAACCTACCCCTGGGAGCCACCGCTACGGGGCCAGGCTGTGAGAATGTTCAGCTCTTAGCAGAGAGTGTAGCTCAGTTCTTAGCAGAGAGTGTAGTTCCTTTCTGTTAGGCAGGTTGGCTAGATGAGTGTTCAGCTCTCAGCAAAGAGGGTAGCTCCTCTCTGCAGCTGGTGATCCTGTTGTCTCTCCACCCTCTCCTCAATCTGTCTGACTCCAGGGTTTTTATGGGCCTCAGAGAGGAGGAAGTGTGTGCTGATTGGTCTATGGGCTGCCAAGGGCAGGCCCAAGGAAAGCACCACAAGTTCCCCCTCTGGTCAGCTGGGCTAGTGGCCCAGCACCCAGGCTTCAGGCCTTCCCCAGCTCGAAGGTAGGACTTCACCAGGGACCCACTCTCTTCAGCCCAGGAGCTTATCTGCCTCCTGTGGCTGTTCATGGTGCCCAGGCTGTTCATGCCAAAGGGTGACTGCAGGCCAGCACTGGGCTGTCCTCAGCACCCCCTTGGCCTCCCTCCTGTGCTTGTTTGTGCCCAAAGTCCAGAGGAGGGCTGAGGTGGCAGGGGGCTGGTGTGTCAGTGCTGCCCTTAGTATGTGCACACACAGTCAGGCTGCAACATCACCCAGGCTCAGCCCTAACTTTGCTTCAAGATCGGAGCAGGCACCAACAGTGGGGAGAAGCCAGGCATTAGAAGCAGGCACTTTCAAACCTGCAGGGGAAAGGGGGGCCTTCCTGGGCCCCGAGAGTGCAGGGATGCCTGGGTCCACAGCAGCAGCTGGCTGGCCGCAGCTGCACCCTGGGAGCTCCTGCCTGGCTAGCTTGGAAGGGGCGGGGCTCTTGCTTGTCTCTGGCTCCCACGGGCTCACGCACCTGTCCTGGAGACGATCGTGGGCTCCAGGTCCAGCTCTTGGGAATGTCAAACTTAGTGGTCACCATGATGCGGGGTAGATCCTGAGGATATGACCTCAGATGGCCCCACACAGAGCCTCTTTTCAAGGCTCAGGAACTTGGTACCATCAGCCAGGTGGGTGCAGTGGCTGCGTCGCTGGCCAGGTCCTCCAAGGAGGTGCCACTCCCACTTCTCCCTGCAGGCACCTCAAGCAAAGCCTCAGCTCCACATCTCTGCCCAGCCCTAGCACTCTGTATGAAAGCACTGGGCCCTACTCTGCCTCAGAGCCCCTCTGTACCCTCTCCTTCATGCCCAACTGTGCTGCCCGCCTGCTGGCAGGTGGCTCAGCCTGGCCCCATAGTGGTGGCTCCCGGGGGTAGGTTCCAGGGACTGCCCACCTGGGCACCTGAGGACCCGCGGCCTACCCCTTTACCCCACTGCAGCTGGTGCCACAGCAGCAGCCACTTTAGATGGGCTGCCACTGCCATCAGTAGCTTTGATTTGTAAAGACTCCTTGCCCAAGCCGCAACTTTTAAAAAACTTGCTTCGGCAAAAGAATATTCTAAAACTATTTTCTGAACATATTTTTTAATCAAAAAGTATTTACAGAACAAAGATTTTACATGGAAAATGAAACAAAAATTCCAAATTAATGTAGAAGATTATTAATGAATAAGGATAAATATTTAGAAAAATTTCAAACTGTATTTAAATTACTAAGTTTTGCAAAGGAAAGTTGTTAGATTCAGATCTCCCAGCCCATACCTATTGGCATATATCTTTAAAAAGATTGAACTTTTCTAAAGCTAAATTTTCTCAGTTGTAAAATGGATTAAATAAACATCAATTGATACTATATTTGATGGTTATTAATAAACTATAATTGCAACATAAGATTATGAAACTAAATCTTATACATATACACATATATAAAATTGGTTGCATTTCTCTAAGTTTTTGAATGACTTATGAAATTGCTTAACTGGCAGTTTTATGACACTTAAAATAGACTTCTCTCATGCAAAAATATGTTTAGTATATTGTTGTTTCCTTTTCCTAAATTCACATATATATATGTGTGTGTGTGTGTGTGTGTGTGTGTGTGTATATATATATATATATATATATATATATATATATATTTTTTTTTTTTTTTTTTTTTTTTTTGAGATGGAGTCTCGCTCCGTCACCCAGGCTGGAGTGCAGTGGCGCGGTCTCGGCTCACTCCCAGCTCCACCTCCCGGGTTCATGCCATTCTCCTGCCTCAGCCTCCCGAGTAGCTGGGATTACAGGCACCTGCCACCACACCCGGCTAATTTTTTATATTTTTAGTAGAGATGGGGTTTCACCGTGTTAGCCAGGATAGTCTTGATCTCCTGACTTCGTGATCCGCCCGCCTCGGCCTCCCAAAGTGCTGGGATTACAGGCATGAGCCACCACACCCGGCCCACTTTTACATGTTTTTGTGAAGCCTTCTGATTTCTGAAACAGAGGAAACAAACAAACAAACAAAAACATTTTTATTCCATTTTATTGAGGCTTTTTATTTGTGTACTTTTGGGGTTATATGAAAAAAAGCTTCTAATGCTAACATTAAATTTCTTCAGTGTATAAGCATCCCAATGTAAAACTGAACAATGAATACTGCAAGAGGAAATATTGAGGGGATATCACAATATCAAAAGTCTCGCATACCCAGAAATCTCTGAGGAAATTATTTTTCTTTTCATGTCTTCTTAACTATTCTTTTTTTTTCTAAAGTAGTTCTTTGGTACTTTGCCCTTTGCTTATATGCAAAGGGTAGAATAGTGATTACAGGAAATAAAGACTCCATTAGCTTGAGTGGTGCTCTTTGGCTGATAGGCATAATATTCTTAAACTACAGTAATTCACACTACCAGTCTCTACTAATGGAGAATCACTGCATGCATATCTATGAATGTCCTAAAATACTTTTTCTCTTTATAAAGAATTGGACAGAAGCAGGTAGGATATGAAGAATCATTTAAGTGCAGCAAGAAAGCCATTAAGATCATAGTTTCCAAGTATTAAGAAAGAGATAATTAGCCTTGGAGAAGGGTCAACTTACACTTGTACCTATGTCATCAGCTTACTTCAAATGGGGAAAAAGAGAGATTAAAATGCTCCAACTGATACCTAAAGAATTTCTTTTGTGGGGAAACACTACCTTCAGAAATAAGGTGCTTGGCAAAGTCTCTCAACCTAGCTAATAACATAAAATTTCAAGTGAGTTTTCCTCGTGTAAAAATGTATTTTTCAGATTTGAATTTTAGAGAGTGATGGCTCAATTTTAAAATCCAAAATAATACAAGCAAAAAAGAGATATTAAATAGAACCAGCAAAAGCATAAATAAAAAAAGTAAAAATATTGTATCTGTGCTTCTTTATACAAATTTTCTGTTTAGGGAATCAGTGAACTCTAAAGTTCCATGAGCACTAATTATTGCATTATCTACCAGCAGTAATTTATTTCTAAAGACCACTCTTACTTTCTTAAAGCAACACAGGATTGATTCAGAGTTTTGTAGACAGGCAGCAGTGATTCTTTTTTTTAATTTTTTTTGCGGGGGCGGGGTGAGACCAATTCTCTCTTTGTTGCTTAGGCTGGAGTGCTGTGGCGCGATCTCAGCTCACTGTGCAACCTCCACCTCCCGGGTTCAAGCAATTCTCTGCCTCAGCCTCCCTAGTAGCTGGGATCACAGGCGCCCACCACCATGCCCGGCTAATTTTTGTATTTTTAGTAGAGACGGGATTTCACCATCTTGGCCAGGTTGGTCTTGGACTCCTGACCTCGTGATCCACCCGCCTTAGCCTCCCAAAGTGCTGGGATAACAGGCGTGAGCCACTGCACCCAGCCAGGCAGCAGTGATTCTTAATCAAAGTTTACAGCCAACGAAGCAGAAAAGCAGAAACAAACTGACTTAAATTATGAGCTAACTACATGAATTTAACTCTGCAACTAAGGCTACATCTCCTAAGTTAGATTTAAGCTATGTGAAGTCTAAGCCAGCATCATCATCTACAAGCACAACATTTTCCACATCAAGAAGGAGAGCACGGATTAGCATCAGCACCAATAACAGCCATAGAATTCCAGACTCACTGATGTCACTGGGACTTCAATGTTTCAGTCATTGCTTATGGAAACAACCTCAATGATTACAGAAAATATGTTTCAGTAATTGTGAGAAAAACTCATATATGTAGAAAAAATAGGTACCAATATTTAGGGGTTTAAAAGAACATATGAAGAAAACAATTACTAATACAGCAGTATCCTTATTACCCTGCAAGAAAAAAGGCAAGGGAGATGGCATGACAATTCAGTGTCTCTAATCTTACTAGAAATCTCAAGCAAAGTTGTCATGGGCTGACTACTCATGGAAATTTCAGATAATAACTATCCCTTGTTTTCTTCAGTTCTTTATGATTTACAGCCATTCACAGATTATTTCCCTTAAATTTCAAAATCAGGCAGGCAAAATTTTTACATCCATATTCCAATTATATAAATGAATACAAAGAAAGTCAAAATAACTTTCTTAATAGCATACAGATGCAAGTAATATATCTGAGGGACTTAAGCTAAGCTCTTTAGACTCCAAAGTGCTCTTTCCACTACTGCAAAATGTAAAATATTAATTTTACACGTTCTGGAAGCTCAGAGAGTTCATTGTGCATATAACCAATTGTATGTGCCCTGTGACAAACACACAAAAAAGTAGAAATAGTAGGATTATTTTGCTGTAGTGAAACTTGTGTGTTTAGCAAATAGTAAGGAGGCTTACTATACTTCCTAATAGAAGTATTCATCCCAAAATGGGTTTGTCAGGTAACAAGAAATTGTAATAGCCATTAAATATTTGCCACTCTTCTAAAATAAGTGTATGATAGAGCAATTGATTTTTTAAGTTAAAAGGGGATTTATTAACATTCTAATATGAATCCTTTATTTTTACAGAGGAAGAAACAAAATCATAAAAGGATAAAGTGATTTTTCTAATATGTGTATATTTGTAAACTATTGGCAGACAATGCAATAAGGAAGGGGAATTCAAGTCCAGAAAAGACGGATGTATGGTCTGTGGAATTAATATTAATAGTTTAATTAAAAATAATCAGAGTAATATTTCCTGAGGGCTTTTCATGTGACAAAATCTGTTATGCTTTTCATGTCTTAGCTAAGAGCAATCATAAAAGGTGATATTATAATATCTAATTTGGAGATAATATCTGATATGGTTTGGCTCTGTGCCCCTACCCAAATCTCATTGTGAACTGTAGCTCCAATAATTCCCACATGTTGTGGGAGAGACCCAGTGAGAGATAATTGAATCATGGGGGTGGTTTCCCCCATACTATTCTCATGGTAGTGAATAAGTCTCATGAGATCTGATGGTTTTATAAGGGGAAATACCCTTCACTTGACTCTCATTCTCTCTCTTGCCTGCTGCCACATAAGACGTGCCTTTCACCTTCTGCCGTGATTGTAATGCCTCCCCAGCCATGTGGAACTGTGAATCCATTAAACATCTTTTTCTTTGTCAATTACCCAGTCTCAGATATGTCGTTATTAGCAGCCTAAGAACAGACTAATACAATATCACAGACCTAAAATGAATAATATCTTGCCCATTGTCAAAAGATCAGAAATTCAGACCTAGCTTTCTAAAATACACTTACACTCTGCTACAGTGGTGGAGTCAGCTTATTTCCAATACTCATCTTCAACCACTTCATTTAACACTTGGCCAGCCTGAATAGAGACTATATTTCACAGTTTCCCTAGCATTTGTAGTTAGTTATAGGACTAAAATTTGGCCAGCAGAATGAGTGGAAGTGAGGTTTGCAACTTCTGTTTACTAACCTGACAGAAGAGACATGCTCTCTCTATCGCCTTTTCCCTTTCCAGCTGGCAGAATACTGGTAAGGTGGCAAGCTATGTTGAACAATGTGGATTGGACAGCACTCTAGTGATGACCCAGCCACAAGATAGAGGAGTCTAGTTCTCCACCCTGTATTGCCACCAGATTAGACACAAATTGCTTACCACAGGACTTGAGAAAAATATGTCACAGCCTTGTTATACCACATTTTTTTTTTTTTGACATAGTCTCATTCTGTCGCCCAGGCTGGAGTGCAGTGGTATGATCTCGGCTCACTGCAACCTCTGCCTCCCAGGGTTAAAGCAATTCTCCTGCCTTAGCCACCTGAGTAGCTGAGATTTCAGGTACCCACCACCACGCCTGGCTAATTTTTTTGTATTTTTAGTGGAGACGGGGTTTCACTATGTTGGCCAGGCTGGTCTCAAACTCCTGACCTAAAGTCATCTGCCCACCTTGGCCTCCCAAAGTGCTAGGATTACAGGTGTGAACCACTGCGGCCGGCCTATACAACTATTTTTAATCTTTCTTGGAGATGTAGGTCTGTATTATAAATAACAAAACTGCCTTTTGGTACACAACAGGATGCAATAGATTGTTCAGATCTCTGCAATAGTTTCATGAGACTGATTGAGGTGAACAATCTGACAGCCAATGACACCCAATGCAATGTGATGCCCTAAATCTGGTATTTTAAATCATACATTTATCTAAAGAAAATAACTCAGACACATTATGTGGCCCATTCTGCTTTATCCCTCAAAACTTTTTTTTCTCTTAATTGGCTAATTAACAGTATTTTAATAATAATTTTTAAAAATCTTGGGCATCTCTACCTCCATTCCTTGACTGCTATTCTGAACCCCTTGCCTGTTTAGAGTAATCCTCTGTGGTAATAGAATATTTTATCACACTTATCACCTTAAGTTTTTTGTTTTTGTTTTTGTTTTAATGTCTGGCTGTTTCCTTGCTACTATAAACTCCTTGATGGAGAAATCATCTTATATCCAACTTTGCATTCTAATTTCCTATAAATGTGTCTAACATATTGTGGGCAATTAGTAAATGTTGACATTACTTGATTCATTTACGAAGAGGCTTTTGACAGGGGTATGTAAAACTAGCACTATACAGAGAAGTGTATGGGATGTTGCAGGTGACATGGACAGATAAAGCTAAATAGTAAACTGAAAAAGTTTAATATAATGATGGTATTAACCTTGAAAGCATTAGTTTCATCAGCAATACAGAAATAAAAAAGGGTTACCACATTCTGTTTTTGTTGTGGAATTATTTCCAATGATGCATTTCTAAGACAGACTGAAAGAAAGTCATTCTAAGAAAAGTATCAACCTAGGAGGATGCTAAAAGTTGTGTGTAGAAACCAAAGTGGTAGAGAGGCCTTTGATCAGAAGCCACACTCCTCATCAAAGCTTACAACGTTCTGCAAAATCCAGGGCTGTTACCTCTCTCCAACATCATCTCATTCATCACTCCTTTGCGTGTGTTCTGGCCACACTGACCTGCTTTCTGTTCTTGGAACACACCAACATTTTGGTGCATTCGGACCTTTGCTCCTGCTACCCTCTCCTCCGGTGAATTTCTTTTTCCAACATTTTGCTAGCTCCTTTTCATCTTTCATATTTTAGCTCAAAGGTCAATCTTCAGAAATGCCTTTCTGAGAAACTATTTAAAGTTTTCACATCCCCTCTCCCTAACCAAAGTTATATTTATAAAATACCATTTATTTCCTTCATAATTATTTTTTACAATTTGACAAATATTTTTATGTATTCCTTTAGTTTCTGTCTCCTGCTAAAATGACTGTAAATTCATATCAGTAGGTGCACTGTCTGTCTGGGAACACTGTAAACACTGTTTACTGTTGCATGCCCATTACCTAGAACCTAACTTGGTAGACAAAATGTACTTAATAAGTTCTTGAAATCCATAATAATCAAGACCACGTATTTTGGGTCTGAGGTCTACACCTGACATAAGACTTGGCTGAGCAGTATTTGAGGAATAATGAAAGCAGCATACCGAGAATATGCTGAATGGTAAGTTCAAAGAAAGAGGCTATAGTGAAAGGTGAGGATTAAGCGGAATGATACTGAGGTATCTGAATAGTGTTGCTAACAGATTTGTGTCACCCCCTCTTCACCCCCAATTCATGTGTTGAAGTCCTAACCCCAGTATTTCAGAATAACACTGCATTTGGAAATGTAATCTTTAAAGAGGTAATTAAGTTAAAGTAAGGTCATTAGATTAGGACAGGTCCTAACCCAACATGACTAGTGTCCCTACAAGAGGAAAGAATTAAGGCACAGACTTGCATAGAGGAAAGACCATGTGAAGACACAAAGAGAAGAAGGCCATCCATAAACCAGGGCAAAAAGTCTCAGAGGAAACCAATCCTGCTGACACCTTGATCTCAGATTTCTAACCTCCAGAACTGTAAGGAAATGAAGTTCTGTTGATAAGTCCACAGTCTGTGGTACTTTTTTATGGCAGTCTTAGCAAATAAACACAATTGCCTATTTGAAAAAATTATCAAGAGGAAACAGAGAGTGAAGGAGACACCATGACATAAAACCTAACACTAAGCTAGGAGAGAAGGACCATATTTAAAGCCATGTTCTTTGTAAACTGACACTAGTGGCAGTGTCTAGAGGGAGAGAAGGGAGGAGAAAGCAAAGGGTAGAAAGGCAAGAAAGGGAAGGGAACATGAAAGAACTTACACAGGAAGTTGATGCACGCTGAACAAAATGTTGGGTGGCCAGTAAGATGATGAGATTAGTGCTAACCCTAGTAAACTGTGCAGTTCATGTACAAAAAGGTAGTCATGATTTCATATTAAATGTAAAGTGAATGCTAACAACGCACTGGCATTATTTTCTCAAGTTATAACGACAACACAGACATTTCAAAGCAAGAGAGGCTGTTTTAAAGCATTTATTCTTAATCAAACACTACTTCCATACTTAGGTTGCAAATTCTCTAGAGTCTAATCACAATAAATATAAAACATCGAGCACCAGGGAATTTTAACTATCTCATCTAACAATGTAAACACCATACTTACAGAGCACTGTGAAAGAAGAAAGTGTTCTCTTTCTAAATCTGTAACCAGATGTGAGATTATTGGCCTTTGTTTCAACCACAATGATGATGGAAAGGAAGAAATTAATTGCAATTTTGATGAATGGAATGCCTGACAAATAATAGTTTTTACCAGATCATTGTTTTCACTTTTTAATTTCTATCCAGCAAAGCTTTATTTCAATGGTACATCATCGTAATTGCCGTTTTTGTAAACATCAAACTGTGCAGGTGCATTAGAAAACTCACGCTCTGCTGTAGATACAATGAACTAAAGAAATGTAGAACAGATAATAAAATTGCAAAATTTCTTTGAGCATATGGTGATATGCAGAATGTCTGCTCTAAAAAAGCCTGAAGTGTGTCTGGGCCTTCCAGTCTGGTAACCAGCCTTATGCAAAAGAGCCTTTATGTTTCAATATTTGACCATTTAATAATTCACCTCCACGCCATTCCCCAGACTTCAGTTCATCCCACCATATGTGCTTTACTTTAATATTAGCTTTAATGTACTTACATCCTTCAAATAAGCACTTAATTAGATATAGTCACTTAGATTTCTCATGATTAATGGTTAAATATGAATTCAGGATGGGTTGGTCCATGAATGAAACATCTTGGAATATATCTTGGGATGCTGTGGCAAAATCAGCATAATTAGTGAGCCATGTTATTTCCCAAAAGTTTCTGCCATGAAACTTGAGATTAAACAGTAAAATAAATTTCTAATTCTTTAAGAGTGCATGTGAGTTCACTTACTCCAGGTCCTGCCCATGTTCCTAGAGATATATTCAATGTAGAAATGTGCATTTTAGGCATTGGGACTTAATCTTTACCTTTATTTCATTAATTCATATATAAACTTAAAAATCCCTATTCAAGAGTAATATGTTTATTGAGTGTCTGCAAAAAACAAAAGACTGATAATACATGCAAATACTTTAACTTTTTAATAAGTGCATTAATTAGTGCATGATTCATGCAACTCAGCATCATCTGTAACAAGAAACAAACATTACAAATATAGTGTTAGTTTTTGGTAACCAGAAATATTTTCTACCCAAAATTTGTCCCACTTAACTGTTAAGTTGCTAAACTTTCACTATTATTAGTTCACTCATTTGGGCTTATATTGAATTACTTCTTTGTTCTAAAACAATGGTTCTATCGACATTCAATCATAAAGTTCCTTTTTATGACTTCATACAATCCTAGCACTGGAAATATACTTAGTAGGATGTACTTAGTCAAACCAATTGTATGCCTGAACCTCTTCTTCAACCTTTCTGTCAGACTAAAATCTATTCTCTCTTTGCACCTACTGCATGGTTAAGAAGATACTTCAAATGTCAGATAGCTTTTTTTTCTAATTTTAGAAAAGGAATTAGAAAAAAAAGAAGAAGAAAAGGAATTAGAAAAACATTTTCTAATTTTAAAAGTAATAGCTAAATTTTGCTGTCCGTGCTAGTTTCTGGAGTGAGATACAGGAAATCTATATTTTTCTACATGATCACTTTTTTAATATTTGGAAATGCCTAGCATGTTCCAGTTTCCTTTTCTCTGTTCTGAATCAATACGGTTACTTCTTCAAAGGTTCCTTCATTGACATGGTTTCTTGACTATATATTCAATGAACTGAATAGATAAACTTAGAACGTGGCAGGTACTCTTCCAGGAGTTGGCTATATAAGGGTAAATAAACACAGCTCCTCCAACCATGGCTTATAGAATTTAAGGGAGAGAAAGAGAGCAAAAAACAAACAAACAAAAATGTGAGTAAATGTAAAAGTCAAACTGCTGATAAATGCTATGAAGAAAAAATCTGAGAGTTCAATGATAGAGAGTTAAAGCATCATAACTAGCTGACACATAGCCAGGCATAAAGAAGAAAAGTGGAGTTAAAGGAAGAATTTTGTTCCCAAGAGAGAAGTCACAGACAAATGACAAATTGGGAGAATGTATTGGAAATTTATACTCCAGGAAAACAATCAATATCCCTGATATTTAAACTGCTTTGAAAACCAAAGTGATCCATATAAAATCCTGTTAAAAATAAGATATTAATAGAAAAACTGATGAAATTTGAATATGATATATAGTTTGATAAAGCATTTTTACTGGTTTCAACAGTTGTACTATGGTTATATGATACATTAATGTTAGGGGAAAGGTGGATGAAAGGTATACAGCAATACTTTGTATTATTTGTATAACTTTTCTGTAATACTAAAATTAATAAAAAATAAAAATAAAAAAATAAAGGGGAAAAGGACCAAAATATCTACCAAGGATGTGATTTTGCAGCAAAAAGTAGGCAAATGCCCCTTAAATATGTCAAAAAATAATCAAATTTACTCATAGAAGGAGAACTGTATTAAACCTTCAGTTGGATGCTATTTTACCTTTGGTAACAGCTTGACAAAAACTTTAGAAGAATAATAAACTTTTAGGTAAATTTCTGAAAAACATGTAAATCTTTGAAAATCTATCTTTGTTTTTTAGACTGCAAAATAGTGCAACCACTATTGAGAGAAGGTGATGGATTTCTAGCAAAACTACAAACGTATTTACCTTATAAGAATTGCAATTATGAGAACTTATAAGAACAATATGTTGCACTTCTAAGAAATTATTATGAAGCTACACTTCCAAAAATATGAAACAACATATACACAAGCCTATTTCTTGTGGAATTATTTGGAAAAGCAAACTATTGGAAAACACAAGCATGCCATTTGTAAGAGACTGAGATGAAAAAGATATAGTGCATTCTGAAAAAGGGGTCCAGTGAAACTTAATCTAAATAAAGATCACTACAAACTGACATTAGTGTTTTTCAGTGTATATTGTTAAATAAGAAAGGAAACATATGGAAGAATGCATATAGCAGGCCACTTTTTAGTGAACTAGAAGAGGAAATAAAATATGTATATTCTTTTTTTTATTATTATACTTGAAGTTCTAGGGTACATGTGCACAACGTGAAGGTTTGTTACATATGTATACATGTGCCATGTTGGTGTGCTGCACCCACTAACTCTTCATTTACATTAGGTATATCTCCTAATGCTATCCCTCCCCCCTTCCCCCACCCCATTACAGGCCCAGTGTGTGATGTTCCCCTTCCTGTGTCCAAGTGTTCTCATTGTCCAATTCTCACCTATGAGTAAGAACATGCGGCGTTTGGTTTTTTGTCCTTGTGATAGTTTGCTGAGAATGATGGTTTCCAGCTTCATCCATGTCCCCACAAAGGACATGAACTCATTCTTTTTTATGGCTGCATAGTATTCCATGGTGTATATGTGCCACATTTTCTTATTCCAGTCTATCATTGTTGGACATTTGGCTTGGTTCCAAGTCTTTGCTATTGTGAATAGTGCCACAATAAACATATGCGTGCATGTGTCTTTATAGCAGCATGATTTATAATCCTTTGAGTATATACCCAGTAATGGAGTGGCTGGGTCAAATGGTATTTCTAGTTCTAGATCCCTGAGGAATCGCCACACTGACTTTCACATTGGTTGAAGTAGTTTACAGTCCCACTAACAGTGTAAAAGTGTTCCTATTTCTCCACATCCTCTCCAGCACCTGTTGTTTCCTGACTTTAATGATCGCCATTCTAACTGGTGTGAGATGGTATCTCACTGTGGTTTTGATTTGCATTTCTCTGATGACCAGTGATGATGAGCATTTTCTTCTGTTGCCTGCATAAATGTCTTCTTTTGAGAAGTGTCTGTTCATGTCCTTCACCCACTTGTTGATGGGGTTGTTTTTTTCTTGTAAATTTGCTGGAGTTCATCGTAGAGTCTGGATATTAGCCCTTTGTCAGATGAGTAGATTGCAAACATTTCCTCTCATTCTGTAGGATGCCTGTTCACTCTGATGGTAGTTTCTTTTGCTGTGCAGAAGCTCTTTAGTTTAATTAGATCCCACTTGTCAATTTTGGCTTTTGTTGCCATTGCTTTTGGTGTTTTAGACATGAAGTCCTTGCCCATGCCTATGTCCTGAATGGTATTGCCTAGGTTTTCTTCTAGGGTTTTTATGGTTTTAGGTTTAACATTGAAGTCTTTAATCCATCTTGAATTACTTTTTGTATAAGGTGTAAGGAAGAGACGCAGTTTCAGCTTTCTACATATGGCTAGCCAGTTTTCCCAGCACCATTTATTAAATAGGGAATCTTTTCCCCATTTCTTGTTTTTGTCAGGTTTGTCAAAGATCAGATGGTTGTAGATGTGTGGTATTATTTCTGAGGGCTCTGTTCTGTTCCATTGGTCTATATCTCTGTTTTGGTACCAGTACCATGCTGTTTTGGTTACTGTAGCCTTGTAATATAGTTTGAAGTCAGGGGGTGTGATGCCTCCAGCTTTGTTCTTTTGGCTTAGGATTGACTTGGCAATGCGGGCTCTTTTTTGGTTCCATATGAACTTTAAAGTAGTTTTTTCCAATTCTGTGAAGAAAGTCATTGGTAGCTTGATGGGGATGGCATTGAATCTGTAAATTACCTTGGGCAGTATGGCCATTTTCATGATATTGATTCTTCCTACCCATGAGCATGGAATGTTCTTCCATTTGTTTGTGTCCTCTTTTATTTCCTTGAGCAGTGGTTTGTAGTTCTCCTTGAAATCCTTGAAGAGGTCCTTCACAACCCTTGTAAGTTGGATTCCTAGGTATCTCAGCAAATGTAAAAGAACAGAAAGTATAACAAACTGTCTCTTAGACCAGTCTGATTAATTCAGATTCAGGATTACAAAACTCATTCAAAACCGCTCAACTACATGGAAACTGAACAACCTCCTCCTGAGTGACCACTGGGTACATAACAAAATGAAGGCAGAAATAAAGATGTTCTTTGAAACCAATGAGAACAAAGACACAACATACCAGAATCTCTGGGACACATTTAAAGCAGTGTGTAGAGGGAAATTTATAGCACTAAATGCCCACAAGAGAAAGCACGAAAGATCTAAAATTGACACCCTAACATCACAATTAAAAGAACTAGAGTAGCAAGAGCAAACACATTCAAAAGCTAGAAGAAGGCAAGAAATAACTAAGATCAGAGCAGAACTGAAGGAGATAGAGACACAAAAAACACTTCAAATAATCAATGAATCCAGGGGCTGGTTTTTTGAAAAGATCAACAAAATTGGTAGACTGCTACCAAGATTAATAAAGAAGAAAAGAGAGAAGAATCAAATAGACGCAATAAAAAAATGATAAAGGGGATATCACCACCAATCCCACAGAAATACAAACTACCATCAGATAATACTATAAACACCTCTATGCAAATAAACTAGAAAATCTAGAATAAATGGATAAATTACTGGACACATACACACTCCCAAGACTAAACCAGAAAGAAGCTGAATCCCTGCATAGACCAATAATAGGCTCTGAAATTGAGGCAATAATTGAGAGCCTATCCACCAAAAAAAGTCCAGGACCAGATGGATTCACAGCTGAATTCTACCAGAGGTACAAGGAGGAGCTGGTACCATTCCTTCTGAAACTATTCCAATCAATAGAAAAAGAGGGAATCCTCCCTAACTCATTTTATGAGGCCAGCATCATCCTGATACCAAAGCCTGGCAGAGACACAATGAAAAAAGAGAATTTTAGACCAATATCCCTGATGAACATTGATGCAAAAATCCTCAATAAAATACTGGCAAACCGAATCCAACAGCACACCAAAAAGCTTATCCACCATGATCAAGTGGACTTCATCCCTGGGATGCAAGGCTGGTTCAACATATGAAAATCAATAAACATAATCCAGCATAGAAACAGAACCAAAGACAAAAACCACATGATTATCTCAATAGATGCAGAAAAGGCCTTTGACAAAATTCAACAGCCCTTCATGCTAAAAACTCTCAATAAATTAGGTATTGATGGGATGTATCTCAAAATAATAAGAGCTATCTATGACAAACCCACAGTCAATATCATACTGAATGGGCAAAAACTGGAAGCATTCCCTTTGAAAACTGGCACAAGACAGGGATGCCCTCTCTCACCACTCCTATTCAGCATAGTGTTGGAAGTTCTGGCCAGGACAATCAGGCAGGAAAAATAAATAAAGGGTATTCAATTAGGAAAAGAGGAAGTCAAATTGTCCCTGTTTGCAGATGACATGATTGTATATTGAGAAAACCCCATCAACTCAGCCCAAAATCTCCTTAAGCTGATAAGCAAATTCAGCAGTCTCAGGATACAAAACCTATGTGCAAAAATCACAATCATTCTTATACACCAGTAACAGACAAACAGAGAGCCAAATCATGAGTGAACTCCCATTCACAATTGCTTCAAAGAGAAATATGTATATTCTTGTGTGTACGTGTGATGTTTATGCTTATTTTTGCAAAAAGAAATAGCAAAGATAAACCAGAAATTAATGAAATATGTTAGTTATAGAGAGTAGATGGACATAGGATGGAAGGACTAGGTATTAGAGTGTAACTTTTGGGTACACTTTTTAAAATGCTTTAAATATTGACTCATTTAAATATTTTGTATATTCAAAATAGAAAATGAACAAAGCAGGAAGAAAAACGAAATCCCCGAATTGACTACAAATAGAAATTATAAAACTTAATTTTATAGCAAATTGGAAATATGAAAACACAGATCAAATAATTATCCTGTATAACTGTTCAACAATTTACATCTCAAGAAATATGTTCTAACTTCAGAAAGGTCTAAAAGAAATATTGAGATTGATTTCTAGGTTTTTTGATATGTAATGAAATTTGTGGTGTGATTCAAAATTATATTTTATGTTTTGCAGAATAAAGCCAATGAGTACATATACAAATACTTTTGGAAACCAAACTTTTCACTGATTAAGAAGGTAAACACAAATGTGGAATGGAGGTGAGAACAAAAAATGCTGTAAAATCAAATGAGAATGAATATACCAATATGTATTTATAGTTTGTAAAAATATGTTTTCTATATCTATCCACTGAAATGGCTTGGAAACTATGACACACTTGAGTATCAATAAACATATCTAGCCCCCAGATTGTTATTTCTAAATATCATTCCATTAAAAAATAAGAATAAAGAAATCAGGCTCTTTGGCAAAGTGGATAATTCTAGGTTAGGGAGAGAAAATATAAGGTGAGTTTAGAATACCTTGTTCCTGAAAACAAGAACCCAGTAGCTAATGAGATGAAACTTTTATAAACCAAATATGTGACACTTTGAGCAAAAAAATCAGTAATACATAAGGAAAATAAGTCATAACACAGAAAATAAAAACCATTCCACAGATTAATAGTGATAATAATATTAATAATAATAATAGAGAGGGACAGAGAGAGATTAAAATAGAAACATCTCCTTTACAAAAAAGTTTAGCTAATAAATGTAGAAGAAATAAAAAAAAAATTGGCCAGGCTTGGTGGTTCACACCTGTACTCCCAGCACTTTGGGAGGCCAAGGCAGGTGGATCACGAGGTCAGGAGTTCGAGACCGGTCTGGCCAACAGAGTGAAACCCCATCTCTACTAAAATTACAAAAAATTTGCCAGGTGTGGTGGTATGTGCCTGTAATCCCAGCAACTCAGGAGGCTGAGGCAAGAGAATCACGTGAACCTGGAAGGCAGAGTTTGCAGTGAGCCGAGATCACACCACTGCACTCCAGCCCAGGCGACAGAGTGAGACTGTGTCTCAAAAAAAGAAAAAAGGAAAGAAAAGAAAAAAGAAAAGAAAGACATAATAGAAAATCATATTGAAGAACTCAAGGTCCACAGAACTACTTTCCGAAAAGAAAAAAAAAAAAGACCACTGTGACAATATCTATGGCCATCATCCTAATTAAGTGATCAAACTTGACATCATGAATATTGGGAGGCTAGATGTTACATGTGTCCAGAATTGATGCAATAAAATATACAGGCATTACCCTCTGCTATGGTTTCAATGTGCTCTCTCCAAAATTCATGTTGAAACTTAATCCCTGCTGTGGTTGCATTAAGAGGTGGATTCTTTGGGGAAGCAATTAAATCATGAGGGCCCTGCCCTTATGAATGGGTTCATATCCTTATAAAAGAGGTTTTAGAGACAGTTTGTCCTTTTTTTTTTTCCCATCCATCCCTTCCACCATGTGAGAACATAGCATTTTTGTCCTCCAGGGGATGTAGCAACACGGTACCATCTTGGAAGCAGAGACTGAGTTTTCACAAGACAACAAATGCCTACGCCTTGATCTTGGACTTCACAGCCTCCAGAACTCTAAGAAGTAAATGTCTACTTCTTTAAAATAAACTGCTCAGCTGTGGGTTTTTGTTGTAGCATCACAAATGGACTAAAACATTGTTGTAATATTCTTTTCAAAAAGTTTTAATCTGAATCTAGTAGTGATGAAACAAATTAATAAATAGAGAATGTAAGATGTCCTGCAAGATAACTGGCATTAACTCCATAAAAAATTAGATGTAGTAAAACCAAAAAAATGATGAGAGATATCTAGATTTAAAATACCTAATAAAACATACAAATGCATTAACTCTGATTAGATTTCAGATTTTAAAATAATAGGTAAATTTTTGGAAACACTAAATATGGACTATGTATTAAATTGTATTATTGAGTTAATGTTCCTTTTTTCTTTTTTGCTTATAATAGACATATATTAATGGCACATTTACTGGGTAGAGTGTGATATTTCCATACATGTATACAGTATATAATGTTCACATCAGTGTAGTTAGCATATCCAACATCTCAAACCTTTTTTATTTCCTTGTTGTGGTAACTTTCAAGATCTTTTCTAGATATCTTAAAATATACAATACGTTGTTGTTAGTTATACTTACCCTACTGTGTTATAGAACTCCAGAATGTATTCCTCCAGTTTAACTGTAACTTTGTGTCTATTGACCAACTTCTGTCCATCCCTCTTTCATCTTCTCTCCCCAGCATCTGGTAACCACTATTCTACTCTCTACTTCTATGAGAACATAATGTTACTTTTTACTAGACAAAAAAGTAGTGCTGTGGTCATAGAGGCAAATATCCTTATTCTTATGAAATCCTCACTAAAGTGTTTTGCAATAAAACATCATAATATCTCAGTTTATTTTTGAAAGGTTAAGGAGAGAGAAAAAGAGAGTGAATGTTAACAGTTGTTTACCCATGTATGTAGGTGTATCAGTCCATTTTCATATGGCTATAAAGAACTGGCTGAGATTGGGTAATTTATAAAGGAAAAGGGTTTAATTGACTCACAGTTCTGCATGGCTGGGTAGGCCTCTGGAAACTTACAATCATGGTAGAAGGCAAAGGGAAAGCAAAGCACCTTCTTCGCAAGGTGGCAGGAAGGAGAAGTGCCGAGCAAAGGGTGAAGAGTCACCTTATAAAACCACCAGATCTCATGAAAATTGACTCAATGTCATGAGAACAGCATGGCGGAAACTGCCCCCCCACTTGATTCAATTACTTCCCATCAGATTTCTTTCCATAAAACATGTGGGGATTATGGGGATTACAGTTCAACATGAGTTTTGGGTGGGGACACAGCCAAACCATATCAGTGGGTGTTAGCTGTAACATTCTTTTCACTACTCTATAGGTTCAAATTTTTTTAAAATAAAAAATTGGTGTAAAATAAATAAACTAAGCTGAGATTAGGACCATCCTCAACTACTTGGTAGGAGCAAATAAACTATGCCTGAATGAAGAGATAAATATATGAAGTACGAAATTACTTCATCTGTATCTCAGCTGTCACTCACAATAGTATTTGATCACATGCATACTGACAGCATTCTGACAATTCTCATTCATTGTAATTTTAAAGTTGAAATAAAGTTTTCAGATCTGTGATATATTTATCAATTTAACTAGTTATCTGTGAAGAACATATGCTGTATTTTTGGATGCATCATTTCTTTTACCTGCTACTTCCCCTTTAGGACACTTCCTCAAACTGTTACTCCATGAAGCTCTGGTTTATTACTGATCACAGTTCTCAAATACTCTGATACAAGAGTTCACACTTGATTCAAGATGCAAAATTTGTTATATTCAATATTTCTACAGTCCTTAGTGATCAGTCAAGTGACAAGCCTATAAAGCTAAACAAATCAGAGTACTTCTCTAAGATTTTATATGAAGCATGAAATTGAGATAATATTTTTTCCTCAAGCATTCCTATATTGTAAAGATGCATACATTCTCTGGATATTATCCCACTACCACTTTTAAATTCCCAAAATACTTGAGGATACCTGAAGTATCACATAGCTATATAAAAACATACTGGCAAGGAACAAATCAGAAGTATTCATCCTAAATATATTATAAAAAGCAGTTTAAATTCAGAGGACCTCTGCTTCTATTCCATGATCCTATTATAGATATGGATGGTACTTCTAAGGAGTATTAAATAAATATTACTTCTTTATAAACTCAATATATAATGTTTAACATAACACCTATGTTTAATATAGCCAATTACGCTCCTTATAATGAATGTAAAGATGAATTTGACAGCAGCTAAAGCATTATCGGGCCACAGAGACCAATTTGTTTATTTTGTTATTTTCCATATTTCTGAAGCTCACAAGAACAAAGAACAAGAAACAAAGATGGCCAGGGAGACTCAGGAATACAGGTAGACAGAGAAACAGAGACAACAAAGCCTAATGACATTGTTTGGCCTTTTTTTCCTCCATTCCATTGGCCAGTGCCATTCCCTGATTGTATAGTTTTCTGAAAATTCTTTTCTTGGCAAAAACTAGTTGGATTGAGTTTCAATTATGTACAACTAAAAAAATCATAATATACAATTGAAAGCAGTGAATATCATTCATGTAGTTTCATTACCTCATCCAACATGCTAAATGTTCATCTGATGAACTGAAAAACTCTTTATTAAAATAGGGAAGTAATAATATAATTTCATTAATTCAGATCCCATTAAATTGATTTTTTTTATTTTCACTAAAGCTAAGTAACACTATCTATTATTGGAGACTCCAAACATAGACAACACAAATCCATGCATGGATATACCATTTATAATACATTTTATGGCCCATATTTAAATTACAGGACATTGGAGTTATATGGATTTATTTCTAGCCAGTTTATTTTTGTCTTTGTTCTTGTTGTGATCTCATGAAATGTGGAACACCAGGAAAAGAAACAATTTGCTTTATGTGTCTAGATGATGCTTTAGCTGCTGTCAAATTTATCTTTGCATTTCTTAAAATGAATGAGGTGAGGGAATGTCAAGTAAATTAAACATCATATATAGATTTTATAAAAAAGTAAATTTCATACTTCTTAGAATTACCATCTACATGTACAATAAGAAAATAGAATATAAGCAGAAGCCCTCTGATTTTAAACTGCTTCTTTCACGTATTTATGACAAATGCTTCTAATCTGTTCCTCACTGATAAATCCTTACATCATGTCGTACTTTAGGTACCCTGAAGTGAATTTAAATACTTGGTAATTCATTGGTGAAGTCGATCAGCACTTATTTAGTGCGTATTGTGATCCATGTAGTATGTTGTCAACTGGAAAATTAAAAAATGAACAAGAATCTCACTCACACTAAACTAGTGGTATAAACTGGTAAGCATAAGTAAATATAAACTGGAGAATTATAAACAAGCAATATGTCAGATGGAAAATGAGAAAAAACACAAAACATTTGAATTCCTTATGATTTTGCTCTTCAGTGACATTGAATTTTTTTTCCTTTAGTTTGAAGATGGAGAGAAAGTGATATGAGCACCTGGAAGCAATTTGCAGATAAACTCAATCATTTGGGGATGTATTCTTGCATTGTTTGCCCTTTTATGAAGGAGAAAGAAAGACAAAATTATATATAAATTAGGAGGGATGCTAGAAAAGAGCTTCCAAGATACATAGATGTTAAAATCATTATATCTGCTGGAAATACTAGGCAGTACATAAATGTACATATCTCTAATTTCTTCTAACCATTTCAATTTGGGAAATGTGAAGGAAATGTGACCTAAAATTGAATGCTAAAGATGAAATTTAAAATTATGTTTAGGGGACTATTATGGGTTGAATTGTGTCTCTTAAAAGTTCTCTTGAAGTCCTAACATCTAGTACCGGAGAATGTGCTCTTATTTAGTAAGAGTTTATTGAAGCTATGTTGAGATGAGGTAATATGGGAGTAAGGAAGGTCTCCAATCCAATATAACTATTGTCTCTAAAATAAGAGTAGAAGAGACACAGAGACACAGACACACAAGAGGAGAGTGTCATATGACAATGGAGGCTGAGACTGGTAGCTGTAAGTCAAGCCAGGAAATGCCAAGGATTGCTGGAAAACCACTAGCGGCTAGGAATAAGCAAAAAACTATTTCCCCTTACCTGTTTTAGTGACAGCACTCCCCTTACAACACCTTGACTTCTTTACTTCTAGCCTCCAAAACTGTAAAACAATAAATTTCTTATGTTTTATGTTACCTAGTTTGTAGAATTTTCTAATGCCAAACCTAAGAAAGTAATACAGGCATGTAGTAAGATAAATTCTATGCCCTCTTTTATACATTTATGCAACAAAGAGAACCCAAAACACCACGGGGATGATCTTCTGTAGTATGTCAGATATGTACTCAGAAATTATATTTTGATGCAACCACCAAATACAAATATTGTCTGTAACAATACTTCAAAGTGTTACCTATGAACTTTCTTCTGAAAACTGCCAGAATAAGGAACCAAGTTCCTTACTTTTATGAGACAAGAAAGCTTCAAGGCCTGACAATCCAATGAGTTTTAGCTTTTATCTTTCCTTCATTTTGAATGTGTGAAAAAACATTCTTCAAACAGTTTATGAAATGTTCTCAGACCTTTGTTTAGATGTTAATAATAATTCTAGCACTCATACTGTCTCCCAACCCTAGGTTTTCAAATTTAGGCTAAACAGACAGCACAGACACACACAAGTGAATAGTTTGATAGTTTTGCAGAATTCTGGTTTCAAAAGTATCAATAGAAGACTATGAATTAAACAAGGAAGTTCAATAAAAATCTTTCTGGGGACAGTGATGTCAGCTAGATGGCAGAATAGGAGATCTCTCCAGGTATCTTTCCACAGCAACAATGATTTTCAGCCATCCATGACAAAAATATCTTTGTAGGTGATTTGGGATTCAGGTATAAGGTTGTGAACCCCTGATGGAGCCCAAGGTCTAGAAGGGCCATTTTAATAGAACATATCATTACCCAGGTGGCATGCATGCCAATCACAGTCCTGGCTCCAGACCCAAAAATGGCCCTGTTCCCCTGTGTATTTGGCTATAGTCACATTTGGCATTGGCCCTACTAAAAGAACTATCTACTAAGAGACCCAAAATAAGTCAGGCCCACTTGTGCCTCAAATGTCACACCTGCCTATCTCAGTCCTGACTGTGGAGAACCCCGAAATGGTTCAGTAACTTGGCTCCAGCCCTACTTAGTAGTTCTGTACACACAGGGACTTTCTGAGAGATACACTTGTCTGTGCTGCTGAAACATATTTGCTGACCTTGATGCCAGCAGATGGCAAAACATTTCTGTTATTCAACTATGGCCTTTCTCAGCTGCCCTCTGAGAGTAGTTCTGCACACCAGGGACCTGAAGGGAGATATGCCAATCTGTATCCCTGTGCACACTCCCAACAACCTTAGTCCCACAGTAGGTCATGAAACAGTTGGATAACTTAGCTCCAGCCCCTCTCATCTATGGACTGAGACATGTTTTCCTGGCCCAGATGCCCAGAGAGAAATACACTAGTCCATGCCCCCAGAGGAAGCCTGCAGATCCAAATATAAGCTGTAGCTGAAGCCGGCTTTTGACTCAGTTCTAGTCCCTCTCATTTGCAGTCTGGGGCTAGTAATACCCACCCAGAAACCCACACAATAACCCAATGGGAGTTCTTCCCAGGATCTAGAGGAAGCCATATCTGTTCATGCACCTGGTAATAGGCATGCCATTACCAGGGTCAACATTCAGGACCCTGAAGTTGACACTTATCCCACTATATGCCCTACTGACCAAGTTACTGAAGGTAATTCAATCTACTTAGGGATTAGACAGGAACGATGCTCACTTGAGACCCTGGTAATAGGCCTGCCACCAGCAGATCCCACTGAGGACCCAGCAGCAACCATGTGACCCAGCTTCAACCCCACTCAACTGCAATTGCAAACACCATCACAACGTGGGTACCTAACAGGAGAAGGTCTTTACCAACCAAAATTAGTCCATAAAGATGGGAAGAAATGTTTGCTCTTTCATATACACAAGTAATACCAATGCGAGTTTTACAGATAACAAAGTATCAAGCCATCATGACACTACCAAAGGAAACTAACACTCCAGCAATCAACTCCTAAGTGAGAGAGATCTATGAATTTCTTGAAAAGAAATTCAAGATAACCATCTTGAAGCTCAATGAGATGCAAGAGAACAATAAATAAAAATTAGGAAAACAATGCATGAACCAAATGAAAATTTAATAAATAAATAAAAATAATATTAAAAAATCAAATAGAAATTCTGGAGCTGAAGAAGAAAATGGCAGAAATGAAAAAATTCAATACAAACCTTCAAGAGCAGCCTCAATTATACAAAAGAAGGAATTAGTGATCTCAAAGACAGGTCATTTGAAACTAAATAATTCGAGGAACAAAAAGAGGGAAAGGAGGAAAAGAGTAAAGAAAGGATAAGGACATATGAAACACCACCATGCATGCAAATACAGGCATTATGAGTATTCTAGTAAAAGAAGAGAGAAGAAGGAATAGAAAGCTTATTGAAATAAACACTGGCTGAAAACTTTCCAAATATTAGAAGGAATTCAAGAAGCTCAGAGAATCCCAAGCAAGATCAACCAATAGAGGAATACTCAGAGACACATAGTCAAATTGTCCAAAGTCAAAGACAAGGAGGAAATCTTGAAAGCAGCAAGAGAAAAGAGACTCATCACATACAAGATAGTCTTCATATGGTTATCAGTGTATCTATTAGCAGAAACCTTGAAAGCCAGCAGAGAATAAAATTATATATTCAAAGGGCTGAATGAAAAAAAAAAAAAAAAAAAAAGCTGCACCCAAGATACTACACTGGGCAAAGCTGTTCTTCAGGAGTAAGGAAGAGAATAGAAACAGCTCCGTTCTGCAGCTCCCAGTAAGACCAATGCAGAAGGTGGGTGATCTCTACATTTCCAACAGAGGTACCCAGTTCATCTCAATGGGACTGGTTAGGAAGTGGGTGCAACCCACGGAGCACAAGCAGAAGCAGGGTGGGGTGTCACTTCACCCAGGAAGTGCAAGGAGCCAAAGGACCTCCCTTCCCTAGCCAAGGCAAGCAGTGAGGGGCTGTGCTACCTGTCCTGGGTACTATACTTTTCCCACAGATTTTTGCAATGTGCAGATCAGGAGATTCCCTCATGAGTCTACACCACCAGGGCTCTTGTTTCAAGCACAAAACTGGGCAGCTGTTTGGGCAGGCATGGAGCCAGCTGCAGGAGCTTTTTTCAGACTCCAGTGGTTCCTGGAACTCCAGCAAGACAGAACAACAATCCGCTTCCCTGGAAAAGGGCCATGGAGCCAGCAGTCTCACTCAGAGGGTCCCACTCCCATGGAGCCCAGCAAGGTAAGAACCACTGGCTTGAAATTCTCACTCTCAGCACAGCAGTCTGGAGGTGATCTGGGACAATCGAGATTGGTGAGAGCAGGAGCATCCACCATTACTGAGGCTTCAGTAGGCAGTTTTCCCCAGATAATGCTAAGGAGACTGGGAGGTTTGGACTGGGCAGAATTCACCAGAGCACAGCAAAGTGGCTGTGGCCAGTTTGCTTCTCTAGATTCCTCCTTACTTGGGCAGGCCATTTCATAGGAAATGCAGCAGTCCCAGTCAGGGACTTACAGATAAAACTCTCATCTCCCTGGGACAGAGCACCTGGTGGGAGGGGCAGCTGTGGTTGCAGCTTCAGCGGACTTAATCTTTCCTGCCTGCCGGCTCTGAAGAGAGAGTGGCAGGCCCTGACAAGGGGGATTCTCCCAGCACAGTGCACTAGGTCTGCTAAGGGACAGAGTGCCTCCTCAAGTGGGTCCCCAGGCCCCTGTGCCTCTTGACTAGGAGAGACCTCCCAACAGGGGTCGACAGATACTTCATACAGGAGAGCTCCAGCTTGAATCAGGCCGGTGCCCCTCTGGGATGAAGCTCCCAGAGGAAGGGGAAAGCAGCACTCTTTGCTATTCTACAGCCTCCAGGCATACATGGTCTGGAATGGACCTCCAGCAAACTGCAGGAGACCTGCAGAAGAGGGGCCTGAGTGTTAGAAGAAAAACAAACAAACAGAAAGCAACAACAAAAACAACACCAACAAAAAAGATCCCCCACAAATACCCCATCCAAAAGTCATCAGCCTCAAAGATCAAAGTTAGATAAATTCAGGAAGATGAGGGAAAACCAGTGGAAAAATGCCGAAAATTCCAAAAGCCAGAATGCCTTTTCTCCTCCAAATAATCACAATTCCTATCCAGCAAGGGCACAAAACTGGATGAGATTGATGAATTGACAGAAGTAGGCCTCAGAAGGTGGGTAATAACAAACTCTTCTGAGCTAAAGGAACATGTTCGAACTCAATGCAAGGAAGCTAAGAACTTGATAAAAGGTTACAGGAACTGCTAATTAGAATAACCAGTTTAGAGAGAACATAAATGACCCAATGCAGCTGAAAAACACAGCACAAGAACTTCATGAAGCATACACAAGTATCAATGGCTGAATCTATCAAACAAAATAAAGGAATTCAGAGATTAAAGACTACCTTGCTGAAATAAGGTGTGCAGACAAGATTAGAGAAAAAAGAATGAAAATGATTGAACAAAGCCCCCAAGAAATATGTATATACTATGTATTTGTAAATACTATGTAAAAAGACCAAACCTATGATTGATTGGTGTACCTGAAAGTGAGAGGGAGAATGGAACCAAGTTGGAAAACACATTTCAGGATATTATCCAGGAGAACTTTCCCAACCCAGAAAGACAGGACAACATTCAAATTTAGGAAATACAGAGAATGCCACTAAGATACTCAATCAGAAAATCAACCCCAAAACACATAAACATCAGATTTTCCAAGGTTGACATGAAGGAAAAAATGTTAAGGGCAACCAGAGAGAAAGGCCAAGTCACCTACAAAGGGAAGCCCATCAGAATAACAGCAGACCTCTCAGTGGAAACCCTTCAAGCCAGAAGAGAGTGGGGGCTAATATTCAACATTCTTAAAGAAAATAATTTTCAACCCAGAATTTCATATCCAGCCAAACTAAGCTTCATAACTGAAGGAGAAATAAAATCCTTTCCAGACAAGCAAATGCTGAGGGATTTTGTATCACCGCCAGGCCTGCCTTGCAAGAGATCCTGAAGGAAGCACTGCATATGGAAAGGAAAAACTGGTACCAGCCACTGCACAAACACACCAAAATATAAAGACCAATGATGCTATAAAGAAATTGCATCAACTAATTGTGCAAAATAACAAGCTAGCATCATGATGACAGGATCAAATTCACACATAAAAATTAACCTTAAATGTAAAGGGACTAAATGCCCCAATTAAAAAACACAGCCTGGCAAATTGGATAAAGAGTCAAGACCCCTTGGTGTGCTGTATTCAGGAGACCCATCTCATGTGCAAAGATACACGTAGGCTAAAAATAAAGGAATAAAGGGATGGAGGAATATTTACCAAGCAAATAGGAAAAAAAAAAAAAAAAGCAGGGGTTGAAATCCTAGTCTCTGATAAAACAGATGTTAAACCAACAAAGATCAAAAAAGACAAAGAAGGGCATTACATAATGGTAAAGGGATCAATACAATGAGAAGAGCTAACTATCCGAAATATGTAGCTGCCCAATACAGGAGAACCCAGATTCATAAAACAAGTTCTTAGAGACTTACAAATACACTTAGACTCCCACACAATAACAGTGGGAGATTTTAACACCCCACTTTTCAATATTAGACAGATCAGTGAGATAGAAAATCAACAGGTATATTGAGGACTTGAACTCAGCTCTGGATCAAGTGGACCTAATAGACATCTATATAATTCTCCACCCCAAGTCAATAGAATATACAGTCTTCTCAGTGCCACATGGCACTTATTTTAAAATTGACCACATAATTGGAAATAAAACACTCAGCAAATGCAAAAGAACGGAAATCATAACAAACTGTCTCTCAGACCACAGTGCAATCAAATTAGAACTCGGGATTAAGAAACTCACTCAGAACCACACAACTACATGGAAATTGAACAACTTGCTCCTGAATGACTCCTGCATAAATAATGAAATTAAGGCAGGAATCAAGAAGTTCTTTGAAACCAATGAGAACAAATAGACAATGTACCAGAATCTCTAGGGCACAGCTAAAGCAGTGTTATGAGGGAAATTTATAGCACTAAATGCCCATCAGAAAGCTGGAAAGATCTAAAATCAACACCCTGATATCACAATTAAAAGAACTAGAGAAACAAGAGCAAACAAATTCAAAAGCTAGCAGAAGAGAAGAAATGAGTAAGATCAGAGCAGAACTGAAAGAGATAGAGGCATGAAGAACTCTTCAAAATAGACCACTAGCTAGACTAATAAAGAAAAACAGAAGAATCAAATAGACCCAATAAAAAAATGATAAAGGGGATATCACCACTGATCCCACAGAAATAAAAATACCACCAGAGAATACTGTAAACACCTCCATGCAAATATACTAGAAAATCTAGAAAAAAGGGATGAATTCCTGGACACATACACCTCCCAAGACTAAACCAGGAAGAAACTGAATCCCTGAATAGATCAATAACAAGTTCTGAAATTGAGGCAGTAATTAGTAGCCTACCAACAAAAAAAAACCCAGGACCAGATGGATTCCAGCTGAATTCTACCAGAGGTACAAAGAGTAGGTGGTACTATTTCTTCTGAAACTATTCCAAACAATAGAAAAAGAGGGACTCCTCCCTAATTCATTTTATGAGGCCAGCATCATCCTGATACCAAAACCTGGCAGAGTCAATGAAAAAAGAAAACTTCAGGCCAATATCCCTGATGACATCAGTGCAAAAATCTTCAACAAAATACTGGCAAACCGAATCCAGCAGCACATCAAAAAGCTTATCCCCAATGAACAAGTCGGCTTCATCCCTGGGATGCAAGGTGGGTTCAACATATGCAAATCAATAAACGTAATCCAGCATACAAACAAAACCAAAGACAAAAACCACATGATTATCTCAATACATGCAGAAAAGGCCTTTGACAAAATTCAACAGCCCTTCATCCTAAAAACTCTCAATAAATTAAGTATTGATGGGATGTATCTCAAAATAATAAGGGCTATTTATGACAAACCCACAGCCAATATGATACTGAATGGGCAAAAGCTGGAAGTATTCCCTTTGAAAACCGGCACAAGACAAGGATGCCTTCTCTCACTACTCCTATTCCACATAGTATTAGAAGTTCTGGCCAGGGCAATCAGGCAAGAGAGAGAAATGAAAGGTATTCAAACAGGAAGAGAGGAAGACAAATTATCTCTGTTTGCAGATGACATTATTCTATCCTTAGAAAACCCCAGTGTCTCAGCCCCAAAACTCCTTAAGCTGATAAGCAACTTCAGCAAAGTCTCAGGATACAAAATCAATGTGCAACAATCCCAAGCATTCCTACACACCAACAATAGACAATGAAAGAGCCAAATCATGAATGAACTCCCATTTATAATTGCTACAAGGAGAATAAAATACCTAGAAATACAGCTTACAAGGGACGTGAAGGATCTCTTCAAAGAGAACTACAAACCACTGCTCAAGGAAATAAGGGAGGACACAAACAAATGGGAAAACACTCCTTGCTTATGGATAGGAAGAATCAATTTTGTGAAAATGGCCATACTGCCCAAATGAATTTATAGATTCAATGCTATTCCCATCAAACTACCATTCACTTTCTTCATAGAATTAAAAAAAAAAAAAAAACCACTTCAAATTTCATATGGAACCAAAAAAGAGCCCAGATAGCCAAGATAATCCTAAGCAAAAAGAACAAAGCTGGAGGCTTCATGCTCCCTGGCTTCAAACTATACTACAAGGCTAGAGTAACCAAAACAGCATGGTACCATGTAAGACATGGAGTTAAAGAACATTATTTTGGAGCTTTAAGATTTAATAGCTGCCCTACTGGGTTTTGTATTTGAATGGGGCTTATCCCCTTCTTTTTGGCCAATTTCTCCCTTGTGGAATAGGACCATATCCCATTGCCTGAACCCTCATTGTATCTTGGAAGTAACTAACTTATTTTTTATTTTGCAGTCTCATAGGAAGAAAGGACTTGCTTGCCTCAGATGAGACTTTGGACTTATATTTTTCAGTTGATGTTGGAATAAGTTAAGATTTTGGGGGACTGTAGACTTTGGGGAACTGTTGGAAAGGCATGATTGATTTTGAAATCTGAGAAGGACTTGAGATGTGGGAGGGGTCATGGGAGGAATAATATGGTTTGGCTCTGTGTCCCCATTCAAATCTCATGTTGAATTATAATCCCCAGTGCTGGGGGAGGGACCTGGTGGGAGGTGATTGGATCATGGGGGGAAGATTTCTCCCTTGCTGTTCTCATGAGATCTGGTTGTTTAAAAGTGTGTAGCACTCCCCCATTTGCTCTCTCACCTGCCGGCCATGTGAATATTTGCTTGCTTCCCCTTCAACTTTCAACATGATTGTAAATATCCTGAGGCCTCCCCAGCCATGCTTACTGCACAGCCTGCAGAACTGTGAGTCAATTAAACCTCTTTTCTTCATAAATTACCCAGTCTCAGGTAGTTCTTTATAGCAATGTGAGAACAGACTAATATACCAAGTTCCTGTGAAGCAGTTCATTTGGTCTCACTGGTCACTACCAGCCCTCCTTTGCTCCATCTGAATAGATTTCTTTGAAAAACCCTTACCTAAAAGCTACTCAGCTATGTCTCTTGCCCCAGGAAATCTGCTTAAATTCTAAGACTGTTCTAGATATAAATTACTGTATAACAAACTACTCATTACTTAGTGGCATAAAATAGAAACCATTTTATTACACTCACAGATTCTGTTGTTCAGGAGTCTGGACAAGGCACAGGATTATGGCTTGACTCTGTTCTCCATTGACTGGAGCCTCAGCTGAGAAGACTCAAATAGTTGGATATGACTGATTGGCCGGACACTTAACTCATCTGGAGCAGACTCATTCACAGATCTGACACCTAGGCTGGGATGACTCCTAGGCTGAGCTTGCCTAAGACAGTCTTCTAAATCTATAAATGGTCTTTGTATATGGTTTGGGCTTCCCCACAGCATGGTTGCCTCACAGTAGTTGAAATTCCATTATGGAAGCTCAGGGATCCATGAGACAGAACAAAAGCTGCATGGCTTTATATCTGCTAGCCTCAGACCTCAGAAGTCACAAAGAGTTTTTGGTTACACTCTATCGATAGAAGCAAAAACAAGTCTGTACAGATTAAAAAGGAAAGGACATAAATCTTATCTTTCAATGAAAGGAGCATCAGATAATTTTCGACTACTTTAAAAATCATCTCAGGGTTGCAAAACTTAGTAGATAAAAAGATGACTAATCATTTTGTACTCAATTCTGAATGTTCAAAGAAGAAACTTTATGGGAGGGCCAATGCAATGTGTAAAGAAGAGATGTATTGATCAGTTGGTGAGACCAGTGAGTCTTTCTAGTAACCTAATGACCCAGAAGGACACACGGCCATAAGAGGGCTTACTAGACATACATATTTATCCAAAACAATAGTGAAACTGGTTTTTTGTTTTGTTTGGAGACGGAGTCTCACTCTGTCACCAGGCTGGAGTGCAGTGGCACAATCTTGGCTCCCTGCAACCTCCGCCTCCCAGATTCAAGTGATTCTCCTGCCTCAGCTTCCTGAGTTAACTGGGACTACAGGTGCGCGCCACAATGCCCAGCTAATTTTTGTATTTGTAGTAGAGATGGGATTTCACCATGTTGGCCAGGATGGTCTCCATCTCTTGACCTCATGATCCACCCACCTCTGCCTCCCAAAGTGCTGGGATTACAGGCGTGAACCACCATGCCCGGCCTGATTTATAGCTGTAAATATTCATCAGAGAATCTTTGGAAAGAATGAAAATCCTGAAGAGAATTTATTGTGCAGAAGATTAAGAATAACACTAAAAATAAATAATCAAAAGTTATCATTTGTTGAAATTTTATTAGTTGTTAGGCACCATACTAATGCTTACCCTATTTTATTATTTTACTATTCCTCAGAACTATTTTGTGAAGTTGTTATAGTGATTCCCATTACATAGATTAAAACACATCAGCAAGGTTAAGCAATTTGCTCAAAGTCACACAGCTAAATTTGCCACAACAAACATCTGCACTTCTGTTTTTCCAGCACTCAGAACTCTGATTCTAATAAATTGGTTTTGGTTAGAACTGATAAATTCACCTGTTCTAAAAAAGGTGTAAGATGACTTTATTTTGAAGAAGGGCTTGTCCTGTAACTGAGGCAGGTAAGGTTAAGAACAAAAGAGAAAATAGTGATTCACGTACTTGGCAAATTGTACCATGGAAGCAGAGCTTGACTGGATTTCAGTCTGCTTTAGGTTAAGAATTCTGTGCTCCATAAACCTGTCTGTTTATTAAGTGCTATAACCTTTTACATTAATTTTGTTTTTGTGTTTTTGTTTTAGATTTTTCTAGAAAAGTTTCATTGAAAAACTCCCAACTTGGGCAACTGAGGGATTGGGAAATTGTGAAATAGCCAGACAGATACCAAGAGAGTTGGGGAGTTCAGAGTGCAAACACAGGCCAGATGGGAGGAGAGAGCAGCAGCCACACCAGCTGGAGATAAAAAGCCCAACAGCTTATACAAAGAACAAAGGGTAATAACTTGAGAGCAGGAGAATCTTGATTGCTACGGTTGTGATTCCTCCTGCCTCAGATATTCTTTATACTCACACTGAGCTTCAGTTCTGACATGTTTTGCTCGCTCCATCCCTGTGAAACCAGGACTCACTCTACTTAATTAGAAAAGAAACCTAAGTAAGCACAGGCTTTTATTTTTCCTAAATGGGAAAGGGGATGCCATAGATAACTGTTTTGTCATCAAGGCAAGACCAAATTGCTGACCCTCTAATTATATTGGGCAGAATAACAACGGATCTTACTGATGGCCTTCCTAATTCTGGAGCTCAGAAATCAAATTAAAATGGGAGATATTATGCTTACAAGCTAATTTGCCCAGAGTTCATTATATTGGAGGCTTACAAAAGAGCTTTGTGACTAATTACTTTGCACTGTCTACTTCCTCAATATTAGAGCTGATATCATCTATCTAAATATAATCAAATCAGATCAATGTCAAGTCAATGAGCTGACAGAACCAAGAGTAAATTTAATATATGGTTGAGTCTGAACAAGTTTAAACATGCATATACTTTAAAGTACATATGTGACATGTAGCTTTACATGAAATGTCTAGTGTTCTGAAATTACAAAATTATGCATGATACACTGATGTTTGCAGAAAAATAGTTATTTAATCCCAAAAAATGATATACTGTCCTCCTAGGTAACTCCTGCCCCTCATACCAGTATTGGATAAGAAGGAGGAGAAATATCAAAGCTAATTTGTGAGGGGGTTGGACCTGGTTATTTCAGTTAAATTTCATATTTTGAGCAAACACCTTGAGATTTGTTTCTTTGGCATAAATAACCAAATTTTCAGATCTCTTCCTTTGTCCCTTCTTCACTTCAGGGTAGTATCTGCTGGTATAAGGGGTCTTATTATACACATGCAATCAGATGAAGAGGGACTCAAAACTGCTTTAGGTGTAGTTTGCCATTGTGTAGGCTAATGACTCCTGGAGTGTGACTGGTGATCCCTGGGTACTTGTTGCTATTCATTACTGATGTAACTTGTAATTTTGATTCTATCAGTTTGGTCAGGGTAGGCATCTCTGCTGACAGGACTCCATATAAGCTCTTTCTACTGCTCTCCCTTGGCTCTAGGTATGGCAGTGGTGTGCATATTTCCAGTCCAGGCTGACTATTGTTCAAGCCTTTTGGCCCTCCTGTGATCCTACTCTTGTCCAAAGTCCGAATCTAGAGACATTCAGCTAACTCCCATGCTATTGTCATGCAGTATTAGTCCATTTTCTTTTCTTTTTTTTTTTTTTTTTTTGAGATGAATTCTCACTCTGTCACTCAGGCTGGAGTACAGTGGTATGATCTCATCTCACTGCAACCTCTGCCTCCCGGGTTCAAGTAATTCTCTGCCTCAGCCTCCCAAGTACCTGGGATTACAGGCACCCCCCACCACGCCAGGCTAATTTTTTGTATTTTTAGTAGAGACAGAGTTTCACCATCTTAGCCAGGATGGTCTTGAACTCCTGACCTCGTGATCCACCCGCCTCAGCCTCCCACAGTGTTAGAATTACAGGCATGAGCCACCGCACCTCATGACATTAGTCCATTTTCATATAGCTATGAAGAAATACCCAAGAATGGAAAATGATAAAGAAAAAGAGGTTTAATGGACTCACAGTTCCACATGGCTGGGGAGGCCTCACGCTCATGGCGGAAGGCAAAGGAGGAGCAAAGGCACATCTTACATGGTGGCAGTCAAGAGTGTGTGTGCAGGAGAACTCCCTTTTATAAAACCATCAGATCTCGTGAAGCTTATTCACTCTCATAAGCACAGGAAAAACCCACCCCCATGATTTAATTACCTCCCACTGGGTCCCTCCCATGACATATGGGGATTATAGGAGGTACATTCAAAATGAGATTTTGGTGGGGACACAGCTAAACCATATCATTCCACCACTGGCCTCTCCCAGATCTTAGGTCCTCACATTTCAAAACCAATCATGCCTTCCCAACAGTACCCCTAAAGTCTTATCTCATTTCAGCATTAACTCCAAAGTCTACCTTCCAAAGTCTAATCTGAGACAAGGCCAATCCCTTGCACCTATGAACCTGTGACATCAAAAGTGAGTTAGTTACTTCCTAAATTCAATGGAAGTACAGGAGTTGGATAAATACCCCTATACCAAATGGGAGAAATTGGCCAAAATGAAAGGGCTACAGGCCCCATGCAAGTCCAAAATGCACTAGGACAGTCATTAAACTTTAAAGTTCCAAAATAATCTCCTTTGACTCCATGTCTCACATCCCGGTCATGCTGATGCAAGAGGTGGATTCCCAAGGCCTTGGGCAGCTCTGCCTTTGTGGCTTTGCAGGGTACAGCCCTCCCAGCTGCTTTCACAGGCTAGCGTTGAGTGTCTGTGGCTTTTCCAGGCACACGGTAAAATTTCCTGGTAGATACGCTATTATGGGGTCTGGAGGATGGTGGCCCTCTTCTCACAGCTTCATGAGGAAGTGTTCCAGTGGGGACTGTGTGTGGGGGCACCAACCCAACATTTCCTTTTTGCATTTCCCTAGCAGAGGTTCTCCAAGAGGGCCTTGCCCCTAGAGCAAACTTATTCCTGGACATCTAGGCATTTCCATACATCCTCTGAAATCTAAATGGAGGTTCTCAAATCTCAATTCTTGACTTCTGTGCACTCACAGGCCCAACAGCACATGTAAACTGCCAAGGCTAGGGGCTTGCACCCTCTGAAGCAATGGCCTGAGCTATACCTTGGCCCCTCTTAGCCATGGCTGGAGCTGAAGCAACTGGGATGCAGGGCATCAAGTCCCAAGGCTGCACACAGCAGGGAGGCCCTGGACCAGGCTCAGAAGACCATTCCCTGCTCCCCCAGGCCTCTGGTCCTGTGGTGGGAGGAGCTGCTGTGAAGGTCTCTGACATGCCCTGGAGACATTTTCCCCATTGTCTTGTGATTAACATTTGGCTCCTCATTAGTTATGCAAATTTCTGCAGCCAGCTTGAATTTCTCCTCACAAAATGGGTTTTCCTTTTCTATCACATCATCAAGCTGCAAATTTTCCAAACTTTTATGCTCTGTTTCCCTTTTAAACATAAGTTCCAATTCCAAACTATATTTTTGTGAATGAACAAAACTGAATGCTTTTAAGAGCACCCAAGTCACTTCTTGAACAATTTTCTGCTTAGAAATTTCTTCCACCACATACCCTAAATAATCTCTCTAAAGTTCAATGTTCTACAGATCTCTAGGGCAGGGAAAAAAATGCCTCCAGTCACTTTGCATAGCAAGAGTAACCTTTATTCCATTTCCCAACAAGTTCTTTGTCTCCATCTGAAACCACCTGAGCCTGCAATCCATTGTCCATATCACTATCAGCATTTTGGTCAAAGCCATTCAACAAGTCTCTAGGAAGTTCCAAACTTTCCCACATCTTCCTGTCTTTGGCACCCTCCACAACTCTAGGAAGTTCAAGTTCCAAACTTTCCCACATTTTCCTGTCTTCTTCTGACCCCTCCAAAAGGTTCCAAACTCTGCCTGTTACCCAGTTCCAAAGTCATGTCAACATTTTTCAGTATTTTAGCAGCAGTACCCCACTCTATCAGTACCAATTTACTGTATTAGTCCATTTTCATACTGCTATAAAGAAATACCCAAGAGTGGGTAATTTATAAAGAAAAAGAGGTTTAATGGACTCAGTTCCACATGGCTTGGGAGGCCTCACAATCATGGCGGAAGGCGAAGGAGGAGCAAAGGCATGTCTTATATAGCGGCAGACAAGAGGACGTGTGCAAGGGAACTGCCCTTTATAAAACCATCAGATCTTGTGAGGATTATTCACTATCATGAGAACAGCACAGAAAAAACCTGCCCCCAATGATTCAATTACCTCCCACTAGATCCCTCCTACTACATGAGATTGGGATGGAGACACAGACAAACCACATCACACGTCTGGAAGAAAATAGATGCATCCACGTTATATAGGAATGGGGGCAAGCTAAAATCAGTTTCTTTTTTGACTTAACAATGCTGGACCATGAGTTTATGTTAAAAGATGACTAACACCACTAGCCTCCTTGATGTAATGATATTATCTGTCAGAGTTCTTTGTTAGATAAGGAGAAAAACTCCCTGCCTTCAATGTTCCCTCCACTTAAGATGCACACATCATTCTCTCTGGTATGAGATTCCAATCCTTTGCTCTTTCATGTTGCCATTTAGTGTGCCAGCCTCATGGCTGAGTAATAAGCAGAGGAGGCTTCTTCTCAGGTATGTCCTATGACCTGAACACAGAATTGGTTCTTGATGTGCTAAGACAATTTTAAAAATCCTCAATCTTTTCTCAAATCCTGGAATATAAACTCTTCTGTCTTATTGCAAAGTTATTTCTGTGAATTCTGGCAGCTGAAGAGCAGCCCTTTATTACTCTGCATTTTACCATTAACAATTCTGAACATTCCCCACTCTTTCCCTACCTGGACCACTCCTGGTAGTAGAAAGGTGTCTCAAGATGACTAAGGAGAAGGACATGAAGACAAAATAAAAAAACAGAAAGACACATTAACAACTACCAAAATATTCCCCCTTGTGTGGGTTAATTTCCACTTTTCCTCTTACTCTCTCCAAGAAGATCCATTTTTTCCACTTTGCTGCCCTACTCAGGTGACAGATCTCCACAGACTGCTTCATTTACACTCTCTTGCTTTCCACTGATTCTTTAAGCCAATGGGAAATATCAAAGGGATATGAGAAAGAAAAGGAAGTGATGTCTACTTGTTTTCTCCTCACCCTTCCTGCCTCAGTATAGTTTTGGCAGAGTCTCCATTCCCTATAGTCATGGATCCACTTGGATAGTTCTGTTTCTTGACCCCAGATGTATATAGTCCTCTCCTTGACCCTTCAGTACTAGAGGAGATGATTTCCTACTGTGGAAATGTCCTTGGTGTTTTGTCATCACTTGTTGGCTTCTTTAACTCTGCCCAATCTAAATAGTCTCACTTGAGTTTCTTATTTCCTACTTTGATTTTTACTGATATACCTCATTGCATTATCAATTAAAATAGTTCATTTTTTTTTTGAACAACTATGTATTGAGAATCTATTCTGTGCCAGGCATCAATCTTAAGATAAGTATAATTTCTGCCAAAATAAAAAAGGAAGAAAGTATCTGTTTCTTGCTTCCTGCCAGAGGCTTTGCTCCCCAGCCTGTAGAATGGCCACACTGCAGGCTACAACCCTTTACAAGAAACAAAGCTCTTCTTTATTTACAAACCTCATCATTTTTCAGTTGACATGATTGAGGAGGAAGCTGGGTAATTTCCCCCCAATCTAAGATCTCCTGCTTTTAAGTTGAAAATTTTGGAAGTGTTATTTTTCTCCACTTCTTTTCATTTCTTCCTAATTCCTTCCCAGACCTTGTCTCAATTCCCTCAATTCTGGACCCTGAAGAGAACACCTCTGTTGGCCCTGGATTTAGGAGGTACCTTCCCATCCTTCCTGGTTCCCTCAATCTGGACCCCAGAGGGGTCTTCCCTGTCAGCCCCAGGTTTGGAGGGATTTCCCAGTCCAATTGGACTCAGCTGGTCCATAAGGTTTTGTGAGGATGTTCACACAATGGATACTTAAGAGACTTCAAGTTAAGGTGAGTGCACTTGTAGAGAACCATACTTCTCTAAGGGAGAACATTTTTTCTAAGAAGACAGGAGAGAAAACTGTTGTTTTTAAGGGGACAGTACAAAGAACTTTACTTCTAAGGGGATAGAGAATTTTACAGTATAGAGAAACTTAGTTCTAAGGGGACAATCTTTGATTAGCTGCCATAAAGAACCCCAGTGGCTTACATGCTTAAGAACAATGGGAAGATATAACTTTTTTAACAAAGGACACATAATAGTATGATGGCTAGCCTTAAAAATTATCTTGATTAAATTAAAGAGCAAAATTTGACCTGAAACAAAGTTAAAATCCTTTGTAAGCTCAAACTGCATACTTCGGATGTCCTGAGGGAATAACAATGAAAGCCACTCTGCCTTGTGATGTTAAATAGTTAAAATTTTGTGATTTCACTGCCACAGCCCGGGTTTGATCCCCAGTCAGGAAACCCTTTTGGATTGAAATTTATGTAACTTTTGTCAATTATTGATCTTTTTCTCTTTCATAATGGCCGGCTTTTTATTTCCTGTTTTCTCTCTGTGAGGGCACGTGAGGCTTTTCACCTTTGTGTACAGATGGTCAGCTGGGAAGCTAAGATCCTTAAAAAATATGTCTGGACAGAAATGTGGGTTGTACTCCAATTATGGCTTGCAAAACTTTATTTGTCTTATGAGGACTACTTTGCACTTCTTTGGAGACATCTTGTGCATTGTTGGTTAGGTCACAGTTTTGGTTAAGCCTCATTGGTTTTCCTTGTGGGGGATTATGTTACAAGGCTACAGTAACCAAAAGGTCCTTGTGTTAGTACATTTTGAATATTGTGAAGAAATACCTGACACTGGGTAATTTATAAAGAAAAGAGGTTTATTTGGCTCACAGTTTTGTAGAATGTAAAGGAAGCATGACACCTGAATCTGCTCAGTTTCTGGTGAGGGCTTCTGGGAGCTTACAAACATGGCAGAATGCAAAGGAGGTACCAGTGTCTTACATGATGAGAGACAGCAAGAAAGAGAAGAAGGAAGTGTCAGGTTCTTTTAAACAACCAGATCTTGTGTGACTCATTACCACAGAGAAAACCAAGCCATTCATTAGGGACCTGCTCAGATGATGCAAAGATCTCCCACCAGGCCCCACCTTCAACAGTGAAGATAACATTTCAACATGAGATTTGGAGGGACAAACATCCAAACTATATCAGTACTGGTACAAAAATAGACACACAGACCAAAAGGACAGAATGGAAATCCATGAAATAAAACTGCATGACTACAACCAATCAATCTTCAACAAAGTAAAAAAAAAATTAAAAATGATGAAAAAATACCATATTCAATAAATGATGCTGAGAAAACTGGCTAACCATATGCAGATAAATGAAACTGAAACCCTACTTCTCACCATATATAATAATTAACTCATGATGGATTAAGACTTAAATGTAAGACCTCACCTATAAGAATTCTAGAAGAAAACCTAGGAAATACTCTTCTAGACATTGGCCTTGGCAAAGAATTTATGACTAAGTCATCAAAAGCAAATTTAACAAAACAAACAATGACAATTGTGATCTAATTAAACTAAAGAGCTTCTGCACAGCAAAAGAAACTATCAACAGAGTAAACAATCCACAGAATGGAAGAAAATATTTGCAAACTATGTGTCTGTCAAAGAACTAATATCCAGAATCTATAAGGAACTTAATGAAATCAACAAGAAAAAACAAATAGCCCCATTAGAAAATGGGCAAAAGACATGAACAGACACTTTTCAAAAGAAGACACACAGGGGGCCAACAACTATGAAAAAATGTTAGACATCATGAATCAGTAAAGAGATGCAAATCAAAACCACAATGAGATGCTAACCTACAGCAATCAGAATGGCTATATTAAAAAATCAAAAAATAACAGATGCTGGCAAGGTTGCAGAGAAAAGGGAATGCTTACACAGTGTTTGTGGGAATGAAAATTAGTCACTGTGGAAAGCTGTTTGGAGATTTCTCAAAGAACTAAAAACAGAATTACCATTTAACCCAGCAATCCCATTACTGGGTATAAAATAAATTGCTCTACCAAAAAGATACCTGCATTAATATGTTCATCACAGCACTGTTTACAACAGCAAAGGAGTTGGAATCAATACAGATACCTGCCAACAGTGGAGTGTGTAAAGAAAATGTGGTACCTATACCATGGAATACCATGCAGCCATAAAAAGGAATGAAATCATGTCCTTTGCAACAAAATGGATGCAGCTGGAAGCGATTATCCTAAGTGAATTAACGCACAAACAGAAAACCAAATACAGCATGTTCTCACTTATAAGCAGCAATTAAACATTGGGTATATGCAAACACAAAGATGAAAAGAGACATTGAGGGTTCCAAAACAGGAGAGGGACAGAGAGAGCAGGGGTTGAAAAACTACTAATCAGTAACTATGTTTGCAACTTGAGCAATGAGATCATTAGAAGCCCAAACCTCAGCATTATCCAATATACCCATGCAACTAACCTGCACATGTATGCCTGAATCCAAAATAAAAAAATAAAAAAATAAACCTGAGGAAAAAAGAAAGTTCTTCTTCTCATGGAGTTTCTATCTTATGGGGAAGACAGACAGTAAACAATAATTATTCTTAGATGACAATAATTTACATAAAGAATAAAAACGGACTGGTGCATAAAATTTGATCGTAAGGAGAGTACGGTTTTCAAAGACTGGTAGTAAGGTATAAAAAGAATAAATAAATGTCATAAACTGATTTGTGTCCTCCCTAAATTCCAGATTGATGTACCAACCCTAATGTGACTATGTGAAGATGAGAATTTTAAAGACATAATTAAGGTTAAATGAGGTCATAAGGTTGAGGTCCTAATCCAATAAGACTGTTGTCCTTATAAGAAGAGGAAGAAATACCAGGAGTGTGCATGAGCAGAGGAAAGGCCTTGTGAGAACACAGTGAGGAGGTGGCCATATGAAAGCCACGAAGTGAGGCTTCAGGAGAAACTGATCCTGCTGATGTCTTGGTCTTAGACTTTAGCCTCCAGAATTTTGAGTAAATAAATTTCTCTTGCTTAAGCCACCCAGTCAGTGGTATTATGTTATGGCAGCCCTAGCATAATAATATGGGGAACAAGCCATGAGTTATTTAAAGTGAGACTATATGAAGTAAAAGAAATGGCAAGTGAAGTAACAGCCCTGAAGCAGGAGTATCCTTGGCAGGTTCAAGGAACAGCACCAACACAATGTCCCTTTAGCAGAGTAAACAAGGAGAAATTATCAACAGATAAGGTAGAGAGGTAAATAAAGCCCACATCATAAATGGCCATGTAAGTGGTGATCCTTTGAGCCAGAAAGTCCCGACAGCTGAGTTGAAAACACACATTACAGGAGAAAGAGTGGGAAGAAAGAGATCAATGAGGAGGCAACTACAGTAAGTCAATGAGATACAAAGATGTCTTGGATAAGATATTATGGGTGGAGGTGGTTAGAAGTGGTCAAACTTTTGATTAATCTTGAAAGGTAACAGATTTTTAAAATTTTTTAATGGATTAGATATATGTTGTGAAGAAAGGAGAGTTGTCAAGGATGAAGGCTCAAGTCTTTAGCCTAAGCAACCGACCTGAGACATTTGCATTTACTAAGATGAGCAGACAACAGGAAGAACACACGTAGTTTAGGGCAAAATCAAGAGTTTGGATATGGGCATGGATAGCTTGACTTGCCTGTAGACATCCAAGTAAGTCAGATGCAAAATAGACAGTTGGAAATATGAATCTAAAATTGAGAAGATTGTATATGTAGCATAGTAAAATATAAACTGTGTATGTAAAATACTATATTAATGTACAAGGAGAGCAGCAAAGATAAATTATATCTGCCTCCAATAAGCCTTTAACTTTAGTAGACAATGTACATATAGTAAAGCACTGATGATTCTACTGAAAGTTACGATAAGGGAGAAGAGTACATTATGACCACAGGGATTTCTTTGGAATTGCTTACATGTCTCTTATACATTCAGTATCTGAATTATATTTATAAAAAAGCATTCATTAAAATATGCAATACTTTAACTTAGTATCTGTTTATTTGTTTTTATACAACATACCTTGTTTGTCCATCCACTATTGGTTAGAAAAGTACATTTAAAATATACACTCATTTAAATTCTTCACATAGAAATTTTGTCTCTGGCCTTTGAGAATCTTTAAATGTTAATATATAGTAATTATACATACTCTCTGAAGACAGCTAATTAGACTAACCTAACAGGATATCATACTTTACACAGAAAATTGTCTATATAGTGTGGGAGGTCGTTGGTAAGTGGGAAGGTTGGTGGTGAGACTACAGTGAGCTGAGTGTAGGAAATATTTTCAAACTCTTAAATCACAGTTTTAAACTGAAACTAAATTTAACTTTTATTTTATTTACATACTTATTTATTTATTTGAGACAAGATCCTGCTCAGTCACCCAGGCTGGAGTGCAGTAGCATAATCACAGCTCATTGCAGCCTCAACCGCCCATGCTCAAGCGATTCTCCCACCTCAGCCTCCTGAGTAGCTGGAACCACAGATGTGTGCCACTGTGCCCAGCTAATTATTCATTTTTTGTAGAGACAAAGTCTTATTATGTTTTCCAGGCTGGTCTCAAACTCCTGGGCTCAAGCGGTCCTGCCGTCTCAGTCTTCCAAAGGGCTGGGATTACAGGCATGAGCTGCTGCACCCAGCCAATCATTACAAAGGAGTTTAGGTTTTCAATTGACTACACTTAAGGAGATTTGGTTATCTTGGATATAATTTTACTCTTAATAGTGATCCTTATCTAAGCATCAGCTTTTTACCACTGGTTTCCGTGCTATTCTTATCTACCCTCCATCACCTGATGGGTGGAAATTTGTATACCTTAACATTAGTTGATCTACAATCAACTAGTTTAACTCAGCATAACCAGGTATTTTCTAGTTTAACTATTTGTGGGTGTTTCTAGTTCTTGTGAACATTATGCAATTTAAATTCCTGAAATTATGATACTAGGTATATTTGACAGCAGGTGTATTAGTTTGAGTCTACTGAAGTACGAAGCCTGATGTGAGGACACTGGTGCAGGTAAATTGTTTGAAAAGTTCCCTTAGAAATTAGGATTGAAGAATCTGTAAAGGCAAGCCACAAAAAAAGTAAAAGTTTATATTAAAATGTTTTATGGGGCCAGGCATCGCGGCTCATGCCTGAAGTCTCAGCACTTTGGGATGCTGAGGCAGAAGAATCACTTGAGCCCAGAAGTTCGAGACTGGCCTGGGCAACATAGTGAAACCTTGTCTTCACAAAAAATACAAAAATTAGCCAGGCATGGTGGCATGTGCCTGTGGTCCCAGTTATTTGGGAGGCTGAGGTGGGAGGATGGCTTGAACCCAGGAGGCCAAGGTTGCTGTGAGATGAGATTGCACCACTGCACTGCAGCCTGTGTGACAGAGCCAAATCCTGTCTCAAAAAAAACAAAATGTGTTTTGAGAGCCACTGGTGCAGGCTAAAGGGTCTTGATTCTGCCAGTACCCAGAGAAGCTAGCATTGGTCTAAGATTTTCTTTATAACAACAAAGGACTAAGACATTTATCCAAGGGGATATGACATGGGTCATCAAAAATTATTGCTACACTAGTTAAGTAAAAATCTAACCACTTTCATAACTCTTCTGATGCAAAGGGTATAAAAATAAAACTATCCTCTGGGATCACAGAATACAATAGATTCACAGTAAACTAGAAAAAAAATCATCATCTCTAACAAGGGTCTTTCAGCCTGTGATCTTGCCAAACTAAAATTCAGAGATTAAACAGTTCAAAAATTAATGTAGACACTCATCAAGGTTCCTAGAGCTTTCTATGTTTTCACTCTGCCACCTTAAACATGTCATTGATGACTCCTCACGATCACAAGATGGCTGCAGCATCTCAGGCATTACATGCAGACATTGAAAGAAGAAAGAAATATTAGAGAAGTGGGTTAGCTGTTGTTTAGGCAGTCGATATTGTCTGCCAGAGAACAGGTCTCACCATATTTATCTGTTTAGTGTCTATTAATTTGGCAAGATTAAACTAATATCAAAAATGTACTTTTATTTACAACAGATAACATTTGATGCCAACACAAAAAGTATTTACTTCTTGACTTGAATAATGTATTCACATTTCAAGCCACTATCTTTTATCTGTGCCTTTTTGATGGATATTTTGATAGCTCTAAATCCAAATATAGATAATCGTATGTGTCAGATCCCAAATACAATTTAAATCCTCGACACTTAAAGCCTCTCTTACCATTATGAATGGATGCATTCCCTAGTCATTATCCCTTCCAAGTCTCATATTAGCTTTCACCAGACAAGTATACTTTAAATAAAGCTGAAGCACAATGCTAGATAGTCATCTGCAGAAAGGATGAGCAAGTTTGTGATTCATTTGCCTTTTTAATCTGGGCTCTCCATTGGAAGCCTCTGATACTGACAGTTTGAAGAGATAAATCGAACAACTGTGGTCATTACACAGAGATATACTCAAGTGCATCCGAATATTCTTGTCTCCTCTTTTAATTTACATAATTTCTAAATGTGCTAAGAATGGAAAGTATTGTTCTTTGGTGGCAGTTTTTACTATAGAACAATCAGCAATATAAAACAAATTTTGGCTTAACCAGAGTTGAGAAAGTGATTGCTGTTACGTTTTGTTCATATCTGTCTTGTCAGAAACTTCTCTCTTGAATGCAGCTGTTTCCATTAACTACCACAGGCACATTTGAAAATGACCCAAGCAACAATAAGAATCACAGAGGAGCATATAGCTTGGGAAAAATAGTTTTTAGTATATAGAATTTTTTTAAAAAGCTGCCTTCACTTAAGAACGAAATAACGTGAGGAGAAAGAAAGGGAAAAAGAAAGAAGGATACGATGGAGAAAGGGAGAAAGAATGAGAGAGGAAGAGATGAAAGATATAAGAAAAAGAAAATAAAGAAAAGAGTAAGCTAGGAAGTTAGAAAGTAGATGAAAAAGATTGAAAGACATTAACTGAAAAGAGGAAAGGAAGAGAATGAAGGAAAATATGTAGGAAGGTAGGTAGTCAGGAGAGAGAGAAAGAAGTGAGATCTACGTCAATATTCAGATCTTTTCCCTGTTTCTTATTGCAAAAATATTAGGCTGGGTGTGGTGGCTCATGCCTGTAGTCCCAACAATTTGAGAGTCTGAGGATCCCTTGAGGCCAGGAGTTTCAGACCAGACTTGGCAACATAGTGAGACTCTTTGTCTCTACGAATAAATAAATAAATAAATGGGTGTGGTGTCTCATGCCTGTAGTCCCAGCTACTTGGGAGGCTGAGATGAGAAGATCGCTTGAGCTCAGGATTTCAAGGATGCAGTGAGCCATGATTGTGCCAGTGCACTCCAGCCTGAGCAACAGAGCAAGATCCTGTCTCAAACACACACACACACACACACACACACACACACACACACACAGAAAACATTAAACTAATTTAAGTTACATATCTGATATGGTCTGGCTCTGAGTCCCCACCCTAATCTCATCTTGAATTGTAATCCCATAATCCCTACGTTCGTGGGAGGGACCTGGTGGGAGGTAATTGACTCATCGGGGCAGTTTCCCCCATGCTGTTCTCATGATAGTGAGTGAATTCTCACAATATCTGAGATGGTTTTATAAAAATAGGACATTTCCCTTACTGGCACTTCTCTCTTCTGCTGCCATGTGAAGAAGGACATGTTTGCTTCCCCTTCCACCATGATTGTGAGTTTCCTGAGCCCTCCCCAGCCATGCAGAACTGTGAGTCAATTAAACCTCTTTCTTTTATAAATTATTTAGTCTTGGATGTTTCTTCATAGTAGCGTAAGAACCCACTAATACAATCTCATTTCTCTAGGAAGTGTTTTCTTTAATATAGAAAAAAAAAAAAAAAAGATTGGCTTCAAATAGAAAAAAAGCTCCCTAGGCTCTACAGTTCCTCTCTTTCCTTCTTAAAAATCAGAGGGATAAAAATCTTCAATTATTTTTCTTTAAAACATCTCTATCAAGAGCTACAAAAAGACATTTAGTATAGGAGTTATCAAAGTTTTTAAAAACATCTGAATAACATTTAAATTAAAAACTACATCTAAATAAAAAGGTGGTAACAACATTGAATAGTTCAGTAGAATGAGCATAAACGTTCACAGCTGAATTATCTGGGTTCTCATTCTAGCTTGTCTGTGAAAATGTGAAGAAACAACGAGGCTTTTGCACCTCTAATTACTCCATCAACGCAATAGAGTTAATACCACTAATTTCAGAGATGTTTTGAAGACTTGATGATATGATGCAAATCTAAAGCACGGCCCAGGTTCCAGCCAGTAGGAGCAGTTTAGTTTCTTCAATGTGCAGGTTGTGCATTTTTCTATACTTATTTTTTGATTCATAAGATATTTATCAAATACTTTCTAATTGCAAGTCACCCTAGTAGGTACTAGAAACTGGCTTTTCAGGTTTCACCTGGATAAATAAAAGTAATTTTTTTTTTCTGTTGGAGGGGAGCAAAGTAATATTAAATAAAAGATGCTTTACACTTTAGGTGTTAGGTTGGTGCAAAAGTAATTCCCATTGAAATTGATGGGAAAAACCACAATATTTGTCTAAATATAAATTTTAGTATATCTTCCATCCACTGGGCAAATAATCATGACACACATTATAAGAGAGCTGTAGTTTATATCACATTATATTTATTTAGTATATCAATGTATATAATTAAACATCTATGTTCTTCCGTAAAATGTAAACTTTCAAATTTTTCACAATAGTAAGAATACCGTGTTGTATGTAGAAAGATTGTTGATAAATTACTAGAGTCCTCTTACTAATTCCATCTAAAATTGACAAACCAGAGAATCTATCACTCAGTCTCCTGTACAGTTTTAGCTGAATTTTTGAAAAATTATAATGTAACTAAAAAAAGTGTTATTTATGGCCTGGTTTCAAATTATCACTCAAATGCAATTAAGTCTACTTCTTTGTAATATAACAAATAAAAGATAAAGCATGTACTCCAAGTTCTTTTCTTTTTTTGAGACAGAGTTTCGCTCTTGTTGCCCAGGCTGGAGTGCAATGGTGTGATCTCGGCTCACCGCAACCTCTGCCTCCCAGGTTCAAGTGATTCTCCTGCCTCAGCCTCCCAAGTAGCTGAAATTACAGACATGTGCCACAACGCCCAGCTAATTTTGTATTTTTAGTAGAGACAGGGTTTCTCCATGTTGGTCAGGCTGGTCTTGAACTCCCGGCCTCAGGTGATCCGCCCGCCTTGGCCTCCCAAAATGCTGGGATTACAGGTGAGAGCCACCGTGCCTGGCTCACATGTACTCTAACTTCTTTAAGTTAGTTTACGACTGACAGATGCTCCTTAAGAATATAAAAGAGCTACACATAAAGAGATGAAAATTTTTGGAAATGCAATCAAAACAAAGATATAGACACTTTCTTACATTATATGAATTATAAATATATAATATGGGATTCAAATGGTTCTTAAAATTTGTATGTCATTTATTTAAGCAGTATTTAATAAAGTATTAACAAAAATTATTTTAATTATTAGTAAAATATGGCTGGGCGTGGCGGCTCACGCCTGTAACCCCAGCACTTTGGGAAGCCGAGACGGGTGGATCATGAGGTCAGGAGATCGAGGCCATCCTGGCTAGCACGGTGAAACACCATCTCTATAAAAAAATACAAAAAAATTAGCCGGGCGTGGTGGCAGGCTTCTGTAGTCCCAGCTACTCGGGAGGCTGAGGCAGGAGAATGGCATGAACCTGGGAGGCGGAGCTTGCAGTGAGCCGAGATCACGCCACTGCACTCCAGCCTGGGCGACAGAGCGAGACTCCATTAAAAAAAAAAAATTATTAGTAACATGTAAAGAATATTATGGCATATTTTATATCACTTTTCTGCAACTTGCAAAAAGGAAAAATCTCTATAATTAAAAATATTGAAGTTAATTTATGGTTCCAAGCCCGTATTTTTTAACAGATATGAAGATTAAAGTTAGTAGTTCTATACATGTAAGAAATATTTTAAAGTAAATGTTATTTTAACACATATTTTAATGCTTTATGCTTTAATCTGTTGCTTCTTTACTTATATTACGAACACTTTCAATTTCTTTTGATAATTTACTTGCCATTATTTTCCATAGTATCCCATTGAAAGCTCATAGTGAAAGCACTGGAAATAAAGTCAGGCATCTTTGCTTCAAAATCAACTCTGGTAACAAGATCATGTATTGAGACCTTGGCAAACTTTTCTCCCCACTGAGCAGTTACTTCATCTGTTAGCCTCACAGTGTTGTTCTGAAGATTTAATGAAGTAATGGATGTAAACATGCCTGCAAATTTGCATAAAACCATATATTCTCATTTATAAAGCAGTATAATACTTCAGTATTACAACAAATACATACTCTACCGGTGCTTAATTCTCTCTAATCTTTTGAAGTTTAAACAGAAGAAGAGTAACATATTTTATCAAACAGTAGATCTAATTTAAGAAGAAACCCTCAAACAAAGCCAACACTAAAACTTTTTCTTCCTCTTGCAACATTGAGAACTCCTGAAAGTATAAATGCTTCTTTTTAACCATTTTCACTTGTACTCTGGTTTATCTGTAATAATATAAAACTATTTTCATCAGAAATGTTGCATAATTTTAAGTTTAAAAATTCCAATTGTCTAGTTAAAAAGTTCAAACTGTTTAACTGGGTAACAACCACTTAAAATAATTTTTCTGTGCATACATTAGTGGCTGGGTTTCTCCAGTATGCCAGACACAACTTGTTTTTCAGATTTAGGATTGAACCACTCAAACTCTAACCCTATATGTGATAAGGAGTGCAGTTGGTCCCAATATTTATAGGAATTATTGGGGTCTTAGATAGCTCCTAATTATTTTTAGATTTTCTTTCCTGCTTCTGTTGCATTAATGAGATCATTCTGCATTTGCTTCTTATGTGTATTGATCCATTTCTGCAATCACACATCTCAGACATTGATTTAAATCCAATCTTCCCCAAAGTTCCAAGATCTCTAATATATACTTTGGCAGCCTTTCCCAAAATAGTGCTTAATAACAGAGTTGGCAGGAATGAATTGGAGAAGAGTAATACTATACATATTAAAATGTGGACTCACGTGTAGAAGACTGAAACTGGACCCCTTCCTTACACCATATAAAAAAATCATCTCAGGATGGATCAAAGACTGAAATGTAAAACCGAAAACTATAAAACCCTGGAAGATAACCTAGGCAATATGATTCTGGACATAGGAACAGGCAAAGATTTCATGATGAAAATGCCAAAAGCAATTGCAACAAAAGCAAACATTGGCAAATGGGATCTAATTAAACTAAAGATCTTCTGCACAGCAAAAGAAACTACCAACAGGGTAAACAGACAACATACAGAATGGGAGAAAATTCGCAAACTATGCAACTGAGAAAGATGTAATATCCAACATCTATAAGGAACATAAATCTACAAGAAAAATAAACCCATTAAACAGTGTACAAGGGACATGAACAGTTATCAAAAGAAGACGTACATATGACTAAAAAGCATATGTACAAAAGCTGAACATCACTGATCACTAGAGAAATACAAATCAAAACCACAATGAGATACCATCTCATAGCAGTCAGATGAGTATTACTAAAAAGTCAAAAAATAACAGGTGCTGGTGACATTGCAGAGAAACAGAAACACTTATGCACTGTTGGTGGGAGTGTAAATTAGTTCAGCCATTATGGAAAACAGTATGACAATTCCTTAAAGACCTAAAAAGAGAACTACCATGTTATGCAGCAATTCCATTACTGGGTCTATCCCCAAAGGAAAATAAATTATTCTATCATAAAGACATAAGCATACATATGATGACTGCAGCACTATTCACATAGTGAATAGCAGGACATGAAATCAACCTGAATGCCCATCAATGGTAGACTGGATAGAGAAAATGTGGTACATATACACCATGGAATACTAGGCAGTCATAAAAAAGAATGAGATTATGTCATTTGCAGGAACATGGATGCAACTGGAAGGCCATTATTCTTAGCACACTAACACAGGAACAGAAAACCAAATACCACATGTTCTCACTTTTAAGTGGGAGCTGAATGATGAGAACACATGGACACATAGAGAGAGGGGAGCAACACACACTACAGCCTATTGGAGGGTGGAGGATAGGAGGAGGGAGAGGATCAGAAAAAATAACTAATGGATACTAGGCTTGATACCTGGATGGGGAAATAATCTGTACAACAAACCCCCACTGATATGAGTTTGCCTCTATAACAAATCTGCACATGTACCCCTCAACTTAAAATAAAAGTTAAAAAAATTCCCAGAAAACAAACAACAAAAATATGAGTTCTTGGATATGCCTTAACGCTGGATTGTAACAATGATGATAATAAGAAAGGCAAACATTTATAAAGACTTTCTACCAGGTGCAGTGGCTCATGCCTGTAATCCAAGCATTTTGGGAGGCCGAGATGGGAGGATAGCTTGAGCCCAGGAGTTTGAGACCAGCCTGGGCAACATAGCAAGACCCTGTCTCTACAAATAATACAATAATTAGCTGGGCACAGTTGTGTGTGCCTGGAATCCCAGCACCTCAGGAGGCTGAGGCAGGAGGATCACTTGAACCTAGGAGTTTGAGAATGCAGTGTTCCATGACATCACTGCCTTAGCATGGGTGACAGTGCAAGACCTTGTCTCAAAAAAATAAGAAAAAAAAATTTTCATGTGCCATATGCCAATCACTGTCTCACTGTTTTGCATATAACGCCACATAGCAGCCCTACAAAGCTGATAGAAGACTATATTTATCTCCATTCTTTACTAGAAAAAAAAGTGAAGCACCTTGAAATAACTTACCCAATTTTTAAGAACCAGAAATCATGACTTTAGAAGATGCCTTAGAGTGGCCATACTGATTGTCCTTAATGGCATTAGAACCCTACATGAAATGCTGCAGGGGGGGTAGAGCAGGGTGACACCTCTCCAACACAGTTCAATCTCAGCATCACAAATGTGGATTACTGGAGAGGATGTGCTCCATAAAGTGAGGTAAGAGAGACACACAAAACCATAAGTGAATTATCCTAGTCTAAAACTCGTAACTTGAATGTATCCAAGCCTCTGGATCTAACTGTCAATCTACCAGAATTTGATGGGAAAGAAGAACAAGCTAATTCACATAATGAAGAAGCAATCACTCAAACAGAGAGCATGAGAGATTCTAAACAATAAATAAATGTATTTCTTCAACAAGTAACTTAAAAGGAGGAAGAGCACTATTATAGGATAGAATAAAAGATACTTAAGAAACATAATAATTAATTAAAGGTAATATTTTCACCTTGTTTGAAGACTGATTTGAACCAAGCAAGTGTACAATAAACTCTGTGAATCAATTAGGAAAACTTATGTATCAGCTGATATTAAAGAATTTGCATAAATTTTTAAAGATCAATAATATCATGTTGGTGAACTAAAGAAAAGGAAAAAGCTCTATATCAGTATGTGAGTCTTTACGAAAGAAGAAAATGTCTAAAAATATAAAGTAACATACTATCTGGGATTGCTTGAAAATACTCCAGCATTAAATACACACACACACACACACACACACACACACACACACATACACACATATATATGTGTGTATATATATGTGTGTATATATATATGTGTGTGTATATATGTGTATATATATATGTATATATGGCGCTTGTATGTTCATTGCAGCACTATTCCAAATAGCAAAGACAGAATCAAGCTAGATGGCTGTCAACCCTGAACTGGATAAAGAAAATGTCATACATATAAGACCATGGAATACTACACTGCCATAAAAAAGAAAGAATGAAATCATGTCCTTTGCAACAACATGGATGTAGCAGAAGGCCATTAATCTAAATGAATTAATGAAAGAACAGAAAACCAAATACAGCAAGTTTTCTCTTACAGGTGGGAGCTAAACACTGAGTATACATAGACATGAAAATGAGACAATTCACACTGGGACTACTAGAGAGGGAAACTTGGGATGGGGATAAAGGTTGAAAAACTACCTGTTGGGTACTATGCCTACTCCTTGGGTGATGGGATCATTCATACACCAAACTTCAGAGACACATAATTTAACCATGTATCAAATCTGCACATGTATCCCCTGAACCAAAAATAAAAGTTGGAAAAAAAAAGAGGAAGGGAAAATACCTGAAACAAACTGACAAAAAGCTGATACTTGTTGAAACTGAATGCAGTGTAAGAGTGTTTTATTACATTATTTCTAGTTTTTATATTTTCAAAAATTTCATTTATAAAAAAAGATTTTTTAACGGCCCTAGAGCGATCTCATACAAAACTGCTAACAATACAAATTTAGGTAAACTATGGTGAAAATTGTTATGCTCCCGATATTTCCTGTGAGTTGGATGTGTCAAGCTAAAATTAAGTTAAATCACATAATTTATATATCAGCAATACTTGGAAATTAACCATAATATTTTTAGAAGCTGCCAGAGTAAGTAAATATAAAATCACACTCATGGTTGCCTTCTGAAAAGCTGTATATATTTAACCTTGGGTTGACCTATAATATGTACTCTACTTGTAAATAATTTCAAATTGTATATTTCAAAAAATTATATTGATAAAAAATATATAGCTAAAAATTGATAACTTCTACAGTAATATATATGCACATCTAATAGTTCCTTTATGTAATAAGTTCCTACTATGTACTAAGTACTGTGATAAATTGTTTAACAAGGATAATGATGTAATGCTGTGCATGCCCCAAAATTTTTAAATTTATTTGACAAAATAACATATTTTCAAAACAAGCACTACATATATATATACATATACATACATGTACCCATAGATATATACTGTATTTACACACATAGAGATATACTCATGTAGATCATGCACAGTATTTGTAATTTTTATTCAATACAATATATATAATTTAAGCCAATAAATTAGCATTAACTAGTCCTTGTTATATCAATTAAGTTTCATCAGGTAGGTTAGTTTCAATCGCTTTACATACTCATGAAAAGAATTAAAATAGAAATTTTTGCATTTCATGATTTAATGTTGTATCATATTGAATATTTGCAAAATTATGAATATATACATAAAAGTAAGCAAATTATAAAAATACCCAAGAATAAATAAAATATATACTGTCTCATTTTAGAGTCCACATATTATATTTCTCATAATACCATACAAATAATCTTGATAATTACATTCTCTTCCCACTTGATGGATAAAGAATTTAAATCAGATGAGATTTCCACATAGTATATACACAAATGAGGAGTTATAAATATATAAAACAGAAGGGAAATATAGGTAAAATTAACACAAATCTATTTTAATCATTAGTCAAGTGTTAAGCATGAAAATATTGAGTATAATAAAAAAAGAATTGTAAAGTCTATATAAAAGTGTATAAAACAATTACTTGGACCTTAAAAATGGGATAAACATATGAAACAAAATATAACAAAAATTTAATTAGTGACATTTTTTAGAAATTTCACTTAGACTTTAGGAGGCTAAGGCAGGTGGATCACCTGAGGTCAGGAGTTCAAGACCAGCCTGGCCAATATGGTGAAAACCCATCTTTACTAAAAACACAAGCTGGGAGTGGTGGCAGGCACCTGTAATCCCAGCTACTTGGGAGGCTAAGGCAGGAAAATCACTTGAACCTGGGAGGTGGAGGTTGCAGTGAGCCGAGATCATGCCGTTGCACTCCAGCCCAGGTGACAGAGTAAGACTCCGTCTCAAAAAAAAAAAAAAAGTCACTTAGAAAATATATATATATTTCACCAATTCTAGTGATATTTTAATCATAATGAAGTTGAGTAGAGAAATCCTACAGAGATCAAATCAACATTCATTTATTCACCAAACATTATCAAGCTCTGGGCTCTGAAATGTGCTTTCTACCCTAGGCAAAACATTTATCCTCTCTAAAACTCAACATCTTGTGTTTAAAACTAGCATCCATTACACAGAACTATAGTCAAGATTAAATGCAATGAAGTACATTCTATCTATGCCCTGAAATATACTAACAATTAAAAATGTCATTGGTTACTATTATTTACCATCCATGTGTTTTGTGTTGAAGACATGGAGATCAAAGTAGTCTTTAATACCTAGTGGACATCCAGTGGAGTAAGGGCTACATCAATGTGAAATACTTCTAGACTAACTTGGTGAAAATGTTCTCAGCTTTCTCCCACATATACAGATTTTTAATTTATTTTTATTTTTATTTTTTATTACTTTAAGTTTTAGGGTACATGTGCACAACGTGCAGGTTTGTTACATATGTATACATGCACCATGTTGGTGTGCTGCACCCATTAACTCTTCATTTAGCATTAGGTATATTTCCTAGTGTTATCCCTCCCCTCTCCCCCAATCCCACAACAGGCCCCGGTGTGTGATGTTCCCCTTCCTGTGTCTATGTGTTCTCACTGTACAATTCCCACCTATGAGTGAGAACATGCGGTGTTTGGTTTTCTGTCCTTGTGATAGTTTGCTCAGAATGATGGGTTCCAGTTTCATCCATGTCCCTACAAAGGACATGAACTCATTCTATTTTATGGCTGCATAGTATTCCATGGTGTATATGTGTCACATTTTCTTAATCCAGTCTATCATTGTTGGACATTTGGGTTGGTTCCAAGTCTTTGCTATTGTGAATAGTGCCGCAATAAACATACGTGTGCATGTGTCTTTATAGCAGCATGTTTTATAATCCTTTGGGTATATACCCAGTAATGGGATGGCTGGGTCAAATGGTATTTCTAGTTCTAGATCCCTGAGGAATCACCACACTGACTTCCACAAGGGTTGAACTAGTTTACAGTCCCACCAACAGTGTAAAAGTGTTCCTATTTCTCCACATCCTCTCCAGAACCTGTTGTTTCCTGACTTTTTAATGATCACCATTCTAACTGGTGTGAGATGGTATCTTATTGTGGTTTTGATTTGCATTTCTCTGATGGCCAGTGATGATGAGCATTTTTTCATGGGTCTTTTGGCTGCATAAATGTCTTCTTTTGAGAAGTGTCTGTTCATGTCCTTCGCCCACTTGTTGATGGGGTTGTTTGTTTTTTTCTTGTAAATTTGTTGGAGTTCATTGTAGATTCTGGATACTAGCCCTTTGTCAGATGAGTAGATTGCAAAAATTTTCTCCCATTCTGTAGGTTTCCTGTTCACTCTGATGGTAGTTTCTTTTGCTGTGCAGAAGCTCTTTAGTTTAATTTGATCCCATTTGTCAATTTTGGCTTTTGTTGCCATTGCTTTTGGTGTTTTAGACATGAAGTCCTTGCCCATGCCTATGTTCTGAATGGTATTGCCTAGGTTTTCTTCTAGGATTTTTATGGTTTTAGGTCTAACATTGAAGTCTTTAATCCATCTTGAATTAATTTTTGTATAAGGTGTAAGGAAGGGATCCAGTTTCAGCTTTCTACATATGGCTAGCCAGTTTTCCCAGCACCATTTATTAAATAGGGAATCCTTTCCCCATTTCTTGTTTTTCTCAGGTTTGTCAAAGATCAGATAGTTGTAGATAGGTGGCATTATTTCTGAGGGCTCTGTTCTGTTTCATTGGTCTATATCTCTGTTTTGGTACCAGTACCATGCTGTTTTGGTTACCGTAGCCTTGTAGTATAGTTTGAAGTCAGGTAGCATGATGCCTCCAGCTTGGTTCTTTTGGCTTAGGATTGACTTGGTTTTGCAGGCTCTTTTTTGCAAATAGTTTGTCTTCTTGTTTTCCTTTTGAGTTTCAAAGCAGAATCCTCTTAGAAAGGAGACAGAGGAAATTAATGCTTCCAGAAGTTGGATGTGTTTATTATGAATATGAGAATAATAGATGTTCCTGGGCCAGGATTTGAATAGTCTTGTTCCCAATTTTCAATCGTTCGAATCATTCTCTCCAGGGAAGTCACTGGCCTACACTAGGTGTAAAGTTTTTGGAGCAAAAAAGATAAAAACAAAACCCATTGCTAATGCATGCTTATGAGAGACACAGTGGTCTCATTAAAACTGAAGCTTTTTAAAGCCATAATTTCTCAGGGCTCATCCATGTTAAAACCAGTATTTTCCATTTGAGCTTATTTCCTACTCATCTAATTGGAGGGCTCTTGTCAGTACCTATTTCTGAAGCATCTCTGATGTAGTGAAAATGATGTTGAGGACAAAATGGCTATGCTAGTATCAATATGAAATTCATTTTATTTTTATTGAAGTAAGCCATTCAGGCAAATCACTTTTTTTTAAACTGGCACTTTACTAAGAACATATCAAGGTGAACAACATATACGTACTTATAAAAAGGATAGTTATCTTAAAATACTTCCAGGGATTTTTTTGTAGGTCTATATTAAATTATGGAGATTTGGGCAAAAATCATTGAATTTTTAAAATCCAACATTCTGTATACTTCGTCCCTAAATTGGAAAACTACCCAATTTATTCCTTTTATGACAATATTTCTTGATACTGAGAGCCTAGTTTCATACACAGTGATGATGTTCAAAGGGGGAGATTTCTTATGATTTTACCAGGCATGTCTATATCTTGTCAATTGATTTTGAAATTGAGTTTCATTATGTTGTCTTTGTTCCCTCCCTCCCCTTTGACAGCACTGGCCTAATTCAATAACAATGTCACAATAATCAAATGAGGTTTGGTTAGACATTAAAAACAGGATTTTTATTTGGTGTAGATACTTAGAATCATTAAAAACACTAAAAATAGAACTTTATTTTCCCATATTTCTTGTAGGGCACCCAGAGTCTCTTGAGAATCCATCTTATTCCTGGAAAGAGAAGGTCTTACAATTGCCTTTCTAATCATCAGAAACAAGACAATGAGGGTGCTGTGCATTGACTGTTCTCTCACTGCATCAGTATTTCTATACTGAGTACAAGTAATCACAGACTTAGCAGCTTAGGACAACACTTACTTATTATCTCACAGTTTCTGTAGATCCGAAATCCAGGCAGGTCCAACAGAAACCTCTGCTCAGGATCGCCCAAGGCCAACATCAAAGAATCAGAACTATTCCTCTCCAGAGGCTCTGAGGAAGAATCTGCTTCTCACTTTACGTAGTTGGCAAGATCCAGTTCATTGCATCTCTTGGACTAAAGTCCCTATTTATTACTCAGTGTCAGTTGGCATGCGGAGGGAGAGGGTATTGCCTCTACTCTGCCCCTTAAGGCGAACTCTATTTCTTCTAACATTGCTGTCATTATATTCAAAACCAGCAATGGCACAGCAAGTTGAAATTTCCATGATTTCTCGTTCTGCTTTTATTTTTAAGGGATGGTACAATTACATTAGATGCACTTATATAATCTCCCTTTTGCCATATAAGTAAAATTGGGCAGTTTTCCAATTTAGGGACAAACTACACTGAATATTGAATTTTAAAAATGGAATGATTTTTGCCCAAATCTCCATAATTTAATATAGATCCACAAATATTCAAAGTATTTTAAGCTAAGAATTATGTCTATTCTATACATAGACAAAATAGAATTGTCTGTTGTCCAATTTAAAGGACAATAGACAAAAAACATTAGACAGGTATTGTGCAACCAAATTTTCTACACACTTTCTACCCTAGAGATGCCCAAATATATATTTCACTAGCATACACGACGGTTAAAAATCTAAGCTTTTGGGTCAACTAGGCCTAGGTTCAAGTTCAAGCTCAATTTTTTATTAATTGTGTGATTTTGTGATCTCATATTTTTATCTCTAAAATGAACGCAATGATATTACCTATCAAAAGGTTGTTGAATTGATTATGTGAAAGAAAGCATAGCAACTAATACAACAATTAACATACAGAAGGCACTAAATGATTCTCACATGACTTAGAGTCTTGCAAACATAAACAGCATTTATTCAGCAACTCCTAGTATGTTCCACCCAGTCCTGCAGTTAACTTGTTCCTCTCTTTAAAATCCTTCTGTTCTCAGTCATACATAACAAAAATACCTTAAGTATTTCTGTGAATGCCCATCTCCAGAAGGTTTCAAGAATGGTAAGAAGTCAAATGCAACCTTACACATCTGTACACAGCCTATGTTACTTGTAACAAGCTGCATGTATAATTTGACAAATTCATTCAAAAGCTCCATATTTCAATTGTCCACGTTAAGGTGTCTTAATTGTGCTAAATCTTCAGTGTCAGAATATCTCATTCACTAATAGAACAGTTGTCTGTAAAAACCCATACAGTATCAGTTAAAATTTAGTTCAATACGGAATTGGAGTAATGGCATTTACAAATTTTTTCCCCCAAAAGAATAAGAAGAAAATCACCAGTACCATTTACTTGCTTTCCATTCATTTCACCTCTGCATCTGGAGCAAAGTAAGAGAAGGAAAATGACACCAACACTAAAGTGCTATAAATCTTGATTTTTTAGAATACTGACTCCTGACCTCACGGGGGCTGTTCATGCAACACCAGGGATTGTCTTCTGCATACATTTTCTCTTTTCTTCCTAATCACTGATTACTATTCACTTTCACTCCTGGGAGTCACAACTACATTTCCTATTGCAGCCTTGATTTTATTGAGTATTTTAAGCTAACAATTTAATCCAAATGCTTATTAAACTCTTTCTGGGAAAGTAAATTAAATTATTTTAATAAAACTAGACTTTTATTAGTACACCAGTAAGCATGTAATGTTTATTACAGCTCAGAGATTTCAGCAAATACCTTTTAACTGAACTTATTTTGTAGCTGTCCCCTAGCAATTTTATTAAATTCAGTGGTAATTAACGATTAGGCACCTAGATGAACTGAGTTGAATATTAGTGAATGATAGGTACATTAACTATGGAGAAATACTGACGATGAGGTGAGGAAATGCAGGAATGGACTGATGAAAATAATGTTTAATTTCAGCAATATCATCCATGCTCATGGACTGAAATATCATCTATATGCCAACAACTTCCAAATTCACATCGTGCCAAGACTTATCTGAGCTTCAAGCTACTTGAAAACTTCTCTTTAATGCATTATATGTATCTCAAGCTTCATGTACAAGAAGTAACTAACATTTTCGTTAAAACATTCACCCCTAGTCTTTCTCATCTTAAAAATAAAAATAAAGAGCAAATACCAATCAACCTAGTTCCTTAAGTGAAAACTGTGTTAATTTTTCTTGATTATTTTTTTTAAATCACTTATCATATCCAATACACATTCAAGTTCTACTGACTTAACCTCGAAAGGACACTTTGAAAACAGCACAGTTAAGTAGACTCTCCTTTTATCTTTACTACTCCACAAGCCAATCCTAAAACAGCACTGAGAGTGACCTTTATAAAACATACATTTGAGGATACTAACTGATAATCTCCAATCGCATCCTATAGGACTTAGAACAAAACCCAAATCCCTAAGCCTTGCCTACAAGGCTTTGTAAAATCTGGCCCCATGTTATACCACTATCTCACTTGTTCCTTATATTCTAGCTTTATTGTCCTTCATTCTGGGCCTTGAAAATAGCAAGCCTGTTTCTATACTGTGGTCTTTATATTAGACCTTTCCTGTTCCTGGAATAATGTTCTGCCTCCGGATCACTTCATGGCAGCTCTTTCATGTTATTCAGACCTTAGCTTTACTGTGTCTCACAGGACTGCAAGGTCCTCTTTGAATACTCAATACCTCCTAAGCCACTTTCTTGCATATCATCCTGTGACTGCACTCGTCTTGAACAGATATTAACTTGCTTTTGAATTTGTTCATTCTTTGATTGCTGCATTACCCCCTCCATTGCCTATTAATAGAAAACAAGCTCTATTTCTCCATATCAGCAAGTACTTTTCTATTCTGCCCCTTACCTCCTTAGTATCCCTCTGATCTGTGACAGACAATAAAAACTTTTAAAATTTATAAAATATAATTATTATTTAAAAAGTTCTTCTTCCATTTCCTGACTCTTAATTTGAAATTAAAAATAGTCCCCTATATCTGAGGCTAAGACAAATAATCGAATGCTATATTCTCCTCCCTGTAAGTTTTCAAAAATAAACTACCAGGTACAGTGAGTATTCTTTAGCTTTGTATTCAAGGCTTTTCAGGATCTCTTCAACCTATGCCAATTCTCTCTACTTTTTTTATGTTACATTTATTCTATTCAAGCTGAATGATTCCATTTTCTCATAGATGTGCTCCTGTAATATTTTATCTTCAAACATTTGTTATTACTGTCCTCTTTTCCTGGAATCTCCTTCTTCTCATGCCCACATTTTGATATTTTTGACCTTTAGAAATAGTTCCAAGGCATTATAAATAGACTCAATATATTCTTAAAATATTAGTCGTAGACTTTTTGTTTTTGGTAAATTCATACTTCTGGGCATCAGTTGCCTCATTTTTGAATTAAGAGGTTGAAGTCGACAAAATGACATATGTATGGACCCTTGAATGTATCACTACAGCATGAAGGGGAAATAACAGCCTTTTGCATAAAGGTTGCTGGAAAGTTACCTAGATGAGAAAAAACTCAAACTCATGTGCATTTTGTACTAGATAGAAATTATTTGCAATTTTCTTGAATATAATCTATACAATAACATGTAATTTATGAGTGTAAGAGCTTTTATTTAATAGTAACATCAAACAGGTATACTTATATAGATCATTTAATAATCTACTGTGGAGTTTTCAGTATAAATTTCAAAGAATATACTGGGAACACTTTCGCATTATTTTCAAGCTATAAATAATTTTTCTTAATGACCCTACCAATTTGATAATAAATAACCTTCAAAGTTTATCCTTGATCACAAAATCAATAGCCCCAACATGCTTTGGCTTACTTATTTATATAGCTGTTACAAGAATTATTAATTAACCATATAAACCTCCTTGAGGATACAGTATTGAGCACAGTACAAAGCAAAAAACTAACTTCTGTTTCAAAATCTTATTTTAAAAATCTCAGATTTGATATTGTAAAAGCCTGTGTTGTTACATTCTCCATCATGAAGCTAATCAAGCAATGAAAGTTTCTTCACTAATTTCTCCCATAGTGCTTTTCAGCTTCAGTGAATTCCTTTCTTCTGTTTTCAACTTGAATTACCATACTAGTCTAATTTGTCCAAGGATTATCATTAATAATAAAAAATTGCAACCTTATATGAAAAGGTTTCTGACCTAGCAGTTTATGAGACTCTCTCTCTCTCTTTCTGTAAAGATTAACACAGCAACGATTCTCAAACTTAAGTCTCAAGAGCTCTTTACACTATTAAAATTTTGTGAACATTCCGAAGAGTTTTTATGGTGGGGGGTTACCTCGAAACATTTATGGTAGGGGAGGAGCCAAGATGGCTGAATAGGAACAGCTCTGGTCTACAGCTCCCAGCGTGAGCGACGCAGAAGACGGGTGACTTCTGCATTTCCAGCTGAGGTACTGGGTTCATCTCACTAGGGAGTGCCAGACAGTGGGTGCAGGTAAGTGGGTGCGCGCACCATGTGCGAGCTGAAGCAGGGCCAGGCATTGCCTCACCTGGGAAGCGCAAGGGGTCAGGGAGTTCCCTTTCCGAGTCAAAGAAAGGCGTGACAGACGCACCTGGAAAATCGGGTCACTCCCACCCGAATACTGCGCTTTTCCCACCGGCTTAAAAAATGGCGCACCACGAGATTATATCCCGCACATGGCTGGGAGGGTCCTACGCCCATGGAGTCTTGCTGATTACTAGCACAGCAGTCTGAGATCAAACTGCAACGCAGCAGCGAGGCTGGGGGAGGGGCGCCCGCCATTGCCCAGGCTTGCTTAGGTAAACAAAGCAGCCTGGAAGCTCTAACTGGGTGGAGCCCACCACAGCTCAAGGAGACCTGCCTGCCTCTGTAGGCTCCACCTCTGGGGGCAGGGCACAGACAAACAAAAAGACAGCAGTAACCTCTGCAGACTTAAATGTCCCTGTCTGACAGCTTTGAAGAGAGCAGTGGTTCTCCCAGCATGCAGCTAGAGATCTGAGAACAGGCAGACTGCCTCCTCAAGTGGCTCCCTGACCCCTGACCCCTGAGCAGCCTAACTGGGAGGCACCCCCCAGCAGGGGCACACTGACACCTCACACGGCAGGGTATTCCAACAGACCTGCAGCTGAGGGTCCTGTCTGTTAGAAGGAAAACTAACAAACAGAAAGGACATCCACACCAAAAACCCATCTGTACATCACCATCATCAAAGACCAAAAGAAGATAAAACCACAAAGACGGGGAAAAAACAGAAGAGAAAAACTGGAAACTCTAAAAAGCAGAGTGCCTCTCCTCCTCCAAAGGAACGCAGTTCCTCACCAGCAACAGAACAAAGCTGGATGGAGAATGACTTTGACAAGCTGAGAGAAGAAGGCTTCAGAAGATCAAATTACTCTGAGCTACGGGAGGACATTCAAACCAAAGGCAAAGAAGTTGAAAACTTTGAAAAAAATTTAGAAGAATGTATAACTAGAATAACCAATACAGAGAAGTGCTTAAGGAGCTGATGGAGCTGAAAACCAAGGCTCGAGAACTATGTGAAGAATGCAGAAGCCACAGGAGCCGACGCGATCAACTGGAAGAAAGGGTATCAGCAATGGAAGATGAAATGAATGAAATGACGCGAGAAGTGAAGTTTAGAGAAAAAAGAATAAAAAGAAATGAGCAAAGCCTCCAAGAAATATGGGACTATGTGAAAAGACCAAATCTATGTCTGATTGGTGTACCTGAAAGTGACAGGGGAGAATGGAACCAAGTTGGAAAACACTCTGCAGTATATTATCCAGGAGAAATTCCCCAATCTAGCAAGGCAGGCCAACATTCAGATTCAGGAAATACAGAGAACGCCACAAAGATACTCCTTGAGAAGAGCAACTCCAAGACACATAATTGTCAGATTCACCAAAGTTGAAATGAAGGAAAAAATGTTAAGGGCAGCCAGAGAGAAAGGTCGGGTTACCCTCAAAGGGAAGACCATCAGACTAACCACGGATCTCTCGGCAGAAACTCTACAAGCCAGAAGACAGTGGGGGCCAATATTCAACATTCTTAAAGAAAAGAATTTTCAACCCAGAATTTCATATCCAGGCAAACTAAGCTTCATAAGTGAAGGAGAAATAAAATACTTTACAGACAAGCAAATGCTGAGAGATTTTGTCACCACCAGGCCTGCCCTAAAAGAGCTCCTGAAGGAAGCGCTAAACATGGAAAGGAACAACTGGTACCAGCCACTGCAAAATCATGCCAAAACATAAAGACCATCGAGACGAGGAAGAAACTGCATCAACTAACGAGCAAAATAACCAGCTAACATCATAATGATAGGATCAAATTCACACATAACAATATTAACTTTAAATGTAAATGGACTAAATGCTCCAATTAAAAGACACAGACTGGCAAATTGGATAAAGACTCAAGACCCACCATTGCGCTGTATTCAGGAAACCCATCTCACGTGCAGAGACACACATAGGCTCAAAATAAAAGGATGGAGGAAGATCTACCAACCAAATGGAAAACAAAAAAAGGCAGGGGTTGCAATCCTAGTCTCTGATAAAACAGACTTTAAACCAACAAAGATCAAAAGAGACAAAGAAGGCCATTACATAATGGTAAAGGGATCAATTCAACAAGAAGAGCTAACTATCCTAAATATATATGCACCCAATACAGGAGAACCCAGATTCATAAAGCAAGTGCTTAGTGGCCTACAAAGAGACTTAGACTCCCACACATTAATCATGGGAGACTTTAACACCCCACTGTCAACATTAGACAGATCAATGAGACAGAAAGTCAAAAAGGATACCCAGCAATTGAACTCAGCTCTGCACCAAGCAGACCTAATAGACATCTACAGAACTCTCCACCCCAAATCAACAGAATATACATTGTTTTCAGCACCACACCACCCCTTTTCCAAAATTGACCACATACTTGGAAGTAAAGCACTCCTCAGCAAATGTAAAAGAACAGAGATTACAACAAACTATCTCTCAGACCACAGTGGAATCAAACTAGAACTCAGGATTAAGAATCTCACTCAAAACCGCTCAACTACATGGAAACTGAACAACCTGCTCCTGAATACATAACGAAATGAAGGCAGAAATAAAGATGTTCTTTGAAACCAACGAGAACAAAGACACAACATACCAGAATCTCTGGGACGCATTCAAAGCAGTGTGTAGAGGGAAATTTATAGCACTAAATGCCCACAAGAGAAAGCAGGAAAGATCCAAAATTGACACCCTAACATCACAATTAAAAGAACTAGAAAAGCAAGAGCAAACACATTCAAAAGCTAGCAGAAGGCAAGAAATAACTAAAATCAGAGAAGAACTGAAGGAAATGCAGACACAAAAAAACCCTTCAAAAAATTAATGAATCCAGAAGCTGGTTTTTTGAAAGGATCAACAAAATTGATAGACCACTAGCAAGACTAATAAAGAAAAAAAGAGAGAAGAATCAAATAGACGCAATAAAAAATGATAAAGGGGATATCACCACCGATCCCACAGAAATACAAACTACCATCAGAGAATACTACAAACACCTCTACACAAATAAACTAGAAAATCTAGAAGAAATGGATAAATTCCTCGACACATACACTCTCCCAAGACTAAACCAGGAAGAAGTTGAATCTCTGAATAGACCAATAACAGGATCTGAAATTGTGGTAATAATCAATAGTTTACCAACAAAAAGGGTCCAGGACCAGATGGATTCACAGCCGAATTCTACCAGAGGTACAAGGAGGAACTGGTACCATTCCTTCTGAAACTATTCCAATCAATAGAAAAAGAGGGAATCCTCCCTAACTCATTTTATGAGGCCAGCATCATCCTGATACCAAAGCCGGGCAGAGACACAACCAAAAAAGAGAATTTTAGACCAATATCCTTGATGAACATTGATGCAAAAATCCTCAATAAAATACTGGCAAGCCAAATCCAGCAGCACATCAAAAAGCTTATCCACCATGATCAAGTGGGCTTCATCCCTGGGATGCAAGGCTGGTTCAATATATGCAAATCAATAAATGTAATCCAGCATATAAACAGAGCCAAAGACAAAAACCACATGATTATCTCAATAGATGCAGAAAAGGCCTTTGACAAAATTCAACAACGCTTCATGCTAAAAACTCTCAATAAGGTATTGATGGGACGTATCTCAAAATGAGAGCTATCTATGACAAACCCACAGTCAATATCATACTGAATGGGCAAAAACTGGAAGCATTCCCTTTGAAAACTGGCACAAGACAGGGATGCCCTCTCTCACCACTCCTATTCAACATAGTGTTGGAAGTTCTGGCCAGGGCAATTAGGCAGGAGAAGGAAATCAAGGGTATTCAATTGGGAAAAGAGGAAGTCAAATTGTCCCTGTTTGCAGACGACATGATTGTATATCTAGAAAACCCCATTGTCTCAGCCCAAAATCTCCTTAAGCTGATAAGCAACTTCAGCAAAGTCTCAGGATACAAAATCAATGTACAAAAATCACAAGCATTCTTATACACCAACAACAGACAAACAGAGAGCCAAATCATGAGTGAACTCCCATTCACAATTGCTTCAAAGAGAATAAAATACCTAGGAATCCAACTTACAAGGGATGTGAAGGACCTCTTCAAGGAGAACTAGAAACCACTGCTCAATGAAATAAAAGAGGATACAGACAAATGGAAGAACATTCCATTCTCATGGGTAGGAAGAATCAATATCATGAAAATGGCCATACTGCCCAAGGTAATTTACAGATTCAATGCCATCCTCATCAAGCTACCAATGACTTTCTTTACAGAATTGGAAAAAACTACTTTAAAGTTCATGTGGAACCAAAAAAGAGCCCGCATCGCCAAGTCAATCCTAAGCCAAAAGAACAAAGCTGGAGGCATCACGCTACCTGACTACAAGGCTACAGTAACCAAAACAGCATGGTACTGGTACCAAAACAGAGATATAGATCAATGGAACAGAACAGAGCCCTCAGAAATAACGCCGCATATCTACAACCATCTGATCTTTGACAAACCTGAGAAAAACAAGCAATGGGGAAAGGATTCCCTATTTAATAAATGGTGCTGGGAAAACTGACTAGCCATATGTAGAAAGCTGAAAGTGGATCCCTTCCTTACACCTTATACAAAAATCAATTCAAGATGGATTAAAGACTTCAATGTTAGACCTAAAACCATAAAAACCCTAGAAGAAAACCTAGGCATTACCATTCAGGACATAGGCATGGGCAAGGACTTCATGTCTAAAACACCAAAAGCAATGGCAACAAAAGCCAAAATTGACAAATGGGATCAAATTAAACTAAAGAGCTTCTGCACAGCAAAAGAAACTACCATCAGAGTGAACAGGCAACCTACAAAATGGGAGAAAATTTTTGCAATCTACTCATCTGACAAAGGGCTAATATCCAGAATCTACAATGAACTCCAACAAATTTACAAGAAAAAAACAAACAACCCCATCAATAAGTGGGCGAAGGACATGAACAGACACTTCTCAAAGGAAGACATTTATGCAGCCAAAAAACACATGAAAAAATGCTCATCATCACTGGCCATCAGAGAAATGCAAATCAAAACCACAATGAGATGCCATCTCACACCAGTTAGAATGGCGATCATTAAAAAGTCAGGAAACAACAGGTGCTGGAGAGGATGTGGAGAAATAGGAACACTTTTACACTGTTGGTGGGACTGTAAACTAGTTCAACCCTTGTGGAAGTCAGTGTGGCAATTCCTCAGGGATCTAGAACTAGAAATACCATTTGACCCAGCCATCCCATTACTGGGTATATACCCAATGGACTATAAATCATGCTGCTATAAAGACACATGCACACGCATGTTTATTGCGGCATTATTCACAATAGCAAAGACTTGGAACCAACCCAAATGTCCAACAATGATAGACTGGATTAAGAAAATGTGGCACATATACACCATGGAATACTATGCAGCCATAAAAAATGATGAGTTCATGTCCTTTGTAGGGACATGGATGAAATTGGAAGTCATCATTCTCAGTAAACTATCATAAGTACAAAAAACCAAACACCGCATATTCTCACTCATAGGTGGGAATTGAACAATGAGATCACGTGGACACAGGAAGGGGAATATCACACTCTGGGGACTGTGGTGGGGTGGGGGGAGGGGGGAGGCAAAGCATTGGGAGATATACCTAATGCTAGATGACAAGTTAGTGGGTGCAGCGCACCAGCATGGCACATATATACATATGTAACTAACCTGCAGAATGTGCACATGTACCCTAAAACTTAAAGTATAATAATAAATAAATAAATTAAAAAAAAAGAAGTTACTGAAAAATAAAATAAAATAAAATAAAATAAAAAAGAAACATTTATTGTATTAGGCATTTTTAAATTATAATTTTTAAGATTTATTAATTCAATTTATAAAGCAATACGAAATCTATAACATGTATATATTTTATTAAAAATAATTGTTTTTCAAAATAAAACAACTGTGGAAAAATTGTATCATTTTAATATTTTTATATATCTCATTATCTTCCATAATAAAATGCCTGCTTTTGCACTCAAATTGTTGATTGTGAAGTTTATGTAGAATACGTACTCTCAATAGATATGTAATGGGGAAAACAAAGTGTATTTCAATAGCCTTTTTATATCATTGTAGATTTTCTTCCTCAAAACTACAACCAAAGCATGATGTATTATTTTTTAAAAGCTATTTGCAATGTGGAATATGAAAGTATATCAGTAAACTTTTCTGTTTCTTTAAAATTCATTGATGTATTCTATCTTTAGAATGTATCTTTTGTAGATGCATGCTGTTAATAAAATCTTTCAGTAGTCAATTCAAATATACTAATTCATGAAATTGTATAACTCTTCCAAATGTAAACATAATTCATGATAAAATATTTAAAATCCTATTGGCTAATATCACCAGTGATGGCATCAGGAAAGTCTTTTTCTATTGGGAAGCACTTAGGATCATGTACATGTTTATCAAAATTATATTTTTCACTTGAAAGTTTAAATTCTATCTATGGCAAAAAAACACTGCCAGTCTTTCCTTGATTTTATAGACTCATTTATTCATTTAAAGAAAATATTTGCTACATATTCATCTGAATAACCATAGTTTGCTATTTGTCATTCTGCCAAATAAAAATGGACAATAGTGAGGTCATAGAGATGAATGCAAAATAGCTAGCAAGAGCATAAAGATACTACTGAAAACACACTGAGTTAATCTCTGAATATGTACACATTCATATACAAAATCTATTACCTTAGAAAATCCTAGAAAACATGAGAACACCTTCCGTTAGTTGTCTAAGAAATACTGTCATCATGTGTCATGCATCCTCTAGGCAAATCTGCTGTATGCCCATAAAAAATGAGGGTGAGAAAAATCGCATCAGTTCTTATTACTATGAAAATAGTTTTGACCTCACAGACACACATAAAAGGAACCTCTAGTTGGCATAAACCACATTTTTGAGAAATACTGGATCAGGAAAAATAAAGTACCAGAAACTTAGTTTAATTTCTGGAAATAGTGGGCATATTTGATATGTATATTCTTGTATAACTCTATAAACCAATTAGAATCGAGTTTTCTTAAGTGAAACTGTAATATAGTTCATTCATACCTTCTGAAAGTAAAAAAATTTTACACTCATAAAATAAGACATAAAATCCATTCTATTTATAGATCACAGACCTATAGAGATCTTAGAGAGTTAAACCAAAGTCAAGTAGACAGAAACACAGAAAAATCACAGGTTCAAATCTCAAGAAGCAGTTCCCCTTTCTAATGCGTGGCAAATATCACAGGCTAAAATAACATAGACTAAAAACTTGATTATTTGCGATCTCTTATCCAACAAAGTATAAATTCTATCATCCACCTGACTGAGAACACCAAATGGTCACATAAACTAGATTACAATCTCTGCTCCCACCAACATGAAATAAATGATCATCTAGTAAATCAGCTTCACATATGCACAGGGTGCTCTCTCTGTCATGCATGTGAGAGCCTAGTACTCCAACATAACATATAGAGAAACACAGGTCCCTGGTCTGTGTTATGGAAAGGGATATGGCTGCAACACACCAATATAATAATATACTTGATTAAAAAATTAAAACACGAATATTAGAAGAAAGAAAACAACTGTAGGCAAATAGAAAGTCAGCAAAAATAAAGTGCTATTGTGTAGCTTGAGAATCATTTCAGAGGCCATGAAAAGATTTGCCTGGGCTTAAATAGCCCATAAGGTGCACTTCTCAGTGAAGAAAATTTAATTGATTCTGGGCAGGTGAGTCCACGGAACTTTTGGTGGCTCTCCAAAACTGTCAAATCACAATTTTCAAACACTTTAAAATGTGATTAAATATATGTCAAACTTACACAAATTATTGCATCTGTCCAAAGAACATTTTGGGGAACAAAGTATTTATAGTCTACTTGAGAAAGCATTCCAAAAAGCATGGACTGAGTTAGGAACAAAACACTTTAATAACCCACAGGGCTATAAAATTTTGATCTTTGGGGCTACATTTTCTACATAAAAGTGATTATCTGCATCCCTATTACAAAGGTCTACAAGTTAACATGTTATTTTAGTAATATAAGCTGTTAGTTAATAGCAAATAGTAAAATCAAACAAAGGTAAATTGTCCTAAAAACTAAATATTTCTTGGGTGATTTAAACCATTACTCAGTGAGATATTTAAAAGTCATGCCACTCACTTTTTACCTTATTTCTAAAATTTAAATAATTTATAATATTTTACAATTTGCAATAAATATTTTGTGATTAAAAAAATAAAAATAAAATGTCTAAAATGTTTACGTACCCACTCAAACAACTACTAGGAAATGAAAAATGTTTTCCTAATATTTTGGGTCATTTTAGGCTTTAGAGCGTTTAAATTGTAACATACTCAATCTTTATTTCCTTCGGAACTTACAAAACTGATTCAAGTACGGTTTTCATCTCAGAACTAGTGGGAGTATTGAGCTCAGATCAACTACCCCGGTGATGTAATAACAAAACAAAAATAAATCTTAAAAGTCTTTTGAAAAAATAGAATACTATTGTAAATGTTGGGTACCAAATGAGAGAGCTTAAAATTAAAGTAATAAAAATGCACCTAGTTTTCTATCATTTTTTGAAGTCATATACGGAAGTTCAAAAATCATTAGAATGAGGGATTTAAGGATTTATAACCCAAGATTCAATTGGATGAATAATTAAAGCTTAATTCATCCATACAAAGAAATATCCAACTGTATTTGTTTGAGTGGTAAATTATTTATTATAAATGTTTTATTATAAATGATGAGTGTTCTAGTTTTCTTTTAGAATTGGTATAAATCTAGGCAATGAAAAATTTAGTTATTGACATAAGAAGAAAATGAAGTCAGTCTGTTGAAGTGATTCCATTCCAGTACCATAAATACAATTAATGTTGGTTTTAATCAGCTTTGAAGCTAAAATAAAAGTCCTTCAGAGAGCTCCATCTATTATTTCAGTATGGAATATTCTGCAAACAAGCTTATAGTATCTTGTCACTTATAATAATCAATAAGACATTTGACCAGTAATTCCTCAAATCCTGAGTACAATCTGCAGATTTAAAGTCTGGCCCTTTGTCTTAAATTCCTTATCTCATCTTATTCGAAGTTCTACAGCAGAAAATTATCTCTAGTTCCTTTGCAGCTGTAAAATTGCAGTTTAACACAGAACACCAGAGGAAAACCACCCTTTCTTTCACAGCCTTGTCTCTAAATTGGCCTCAGTTGAACTCAAGGAAATAAATTATATTTACCAAACATTATAGATTATTTGGAGAAAAAGTAAAGGAAGTTATGTCTAGAAATCGGAAAAACAATGTTGAAGTTAGAAGAAGAAAAACAGTAAACCTGTTGAAATGAGCTCATCACATGCTCAGCCCATTCCAAAATTGCACCTGACTTGAAGTGTGTCCCTTTTATGATTTAAGAAACATAGAACCTGATTAAAAGACCCACAGTGTATATATCCAGCCCTTCTAGGGAAAAAAAAAAATCTCTTCTTAGGGTCTGGTTTGGGTCTAAAATTTCTATCAAACTTTCCTCATCCTTCATTCCATCATTCACATTTGCAGAATAAACTAGAACACAATTACATTAGTTAGAGTAAAGCTAGGTTTCCCAACAGAAAAGCCTTTGTGATTATACCTGCCTGGGGGAACAATCACAGTGTTACTTTGTCACCATTGTTAATAAGCTAGGCCTATTTACCAAACCTGTCACACCAGGTAAATAAGAAAGTTCAGCATTTTACAGACTTCTTATGAATCAAACTTTTAAATGAGTACCAACTTGAGAAAAACTGTTTATTGCTCGAATGTTCAATTCATTCATTCTGGCTCTGACCACATCAATGAAATGCACAAGTGCTCTGCCATACTAAAGAAAGTCCTGAGCTCACAGATCAATATACTTTCTGCTTTTAACCAAATGTCATCCCCAAATATTTAATCCTTTATATATTCAATAAAATCATCCAAAGATTCTGTCTAGACCTTTCATCTAGTGAAATCAGTTGCACCATATTTTGTTCTAATTCTGGTGATTTAATGATTACATCATTTTAAAGTCAATTTTAACACGTTGTTGTCATTGATATGAGAGAAAGCCTCATTATTTGGGTAAATAAGAATGGAGTTTACAGAGGTCCCTTGTTTGTCAACTAGTCTTTTCCTCTCAACTAGTCTTTCTACTCCTTTTCATTATCTCTACTATGTTTTGGCTCATTTTTTTCCACTTGTCACAATAATACAAATACTTTGTTCTTTCTTCATTTTTATCCTGTATTTTCTTAAATTCACTGACCAGTTTCTATTTTTACTAATGTAATAGAAAGAACATTGATTATTTAAACTAATGAGTTTTCTTTCGTACTTCTGCTGCTTTTGTCTCTCTAGATTTCCTAACCCCTTGTTAAGAGAATGATTATGTTCATGTTTACAGTTTGAAAGACTCAAAATTGTAAAAATTTCAGTCCTTTCCTAAAGTGTCGATAGATAGCTTTAGTTCAATCCCAATCAAAATCCTGGAAAGGTGTGCTTGTGTGTGTGTGAGATGTGTGTGTGTGTTTGTGATGTGTATGTAAATGAAAAGTTGATTCTAAAATTTAAGTACACTTTTAAAACAGGCAAAACTTGTCTATAGTATTAAAAATCATAAAGGGTACTCTTGGGTAGAAATGAATGGATGGGTGCACAATAGAGTTTTCTGGGGTGCTACTGATGTTCTGTCCCTTATGGCAGCGTTGGTTAAAAGTGTACGAAAGTGAACCATCTATGCATTTAGGATTTGTGTACTTTTCTGTATATATGGTATACTTCAACAAAAAATGTCAAAATTGAGAAAAAAGAATCTTCAACATTTTTCAGAAATCTTCAACAACACATTTCTTAAAATTGCAACATTTGATCTGGGAATAACCCTATTTCCTGACTGGTGTGTTGATAGGCGAGATTAATTTCAGCAAAATCCTTTATTCAGATTGGGTTATGCCCCTCAACCCCGCCAGATTTAGACCTCCTTTTCCTATTTGAGGTGAAACTACATAACCTCCTTCTTAAAACTTCAGGTTCTTTTTTATTAATTGCCAGACACACATACATGCACACACGCACACATTCACATACATCCTCTAAGGAAATACAATTATGCTTAGATTCACTGATGTCTAAATCCACATTAATAAAGAATGATTATTTTCCTAAAGAAAATAACCTGTAGAAATATCATATACCTTAAATTAAAAAAAACTTATTATGCAAAATAATTTTAACCTTCTTTAGCTTTATTTGGTTTTAAAAGACTATATCCAGAGACGTAATTGTAATATCATGTCTCTTTACTGTGATTCCCTCCACTGCAAAAACAACATCAACAACAACAACAACAAAAACACCATTTATGCTTATTAAGATAATACAAAAAGTCTGCAGAAGCTCAAGGGGTTTTAGTTTTTCACTTACCCAAGATGGAAATAATTGGGTAATGCAATGCACACTGAGCCCCTTGTACATGCCCATATTTATTAACACTACCTTTATCATCACAACACGGCTCCCTGATCTATCGTTGAAGAGAAAGCCACAGAATATCTATGCTCTCTCCAGCCGGGAAAAATCCACAGGGGACATAGATTATTTTGATACATAAAAATTAAATTTATTTAAAAGGGAATATTACAAATTAATGGCAAAATATTTTTAAATATAGTTCTTAGAAAATTAGCTGAAAAAAGTCAGATAGTTATTTTATATCATAAACCAATAAAGCTATATTTATTCCAATTAAATAAGTTAAATTTGAAAAATAATAACCTTAAAACACCACAACCAATATAAACAAAATGTAACTCAATGAGGAAAGAAAATTAGAGGTGAATAGACTCATATATTTAAGTGCACACTTAAAAAATATTAGACCCGGCGTGGTGGCTCACATCTGTAATCCCAGAACTTTGGGAGACCAAGGCAGCCAAATAGATTGAGTTGAGGAGTTCAAAACCAGCCTGGGCAACATGGGGAAACCTCATCTCTACAAAAAAATACAAGCAATTAGCCAGGCATGGTGGTACACATCCGTAATCCCAGCTACTTGGGAGGCTGAGGTAGGAGGATTGTTGGAGCCCAGAAGGGTGAGGTTGCAGTGAGCCATGATTGCACAACTGTACTCCAGCCTGGGTGACAGAGTGAGTCTCTATCTCAAAAATAATAAATAAAATTAAAAAAAATTGAGACCTCAGCCGGACCTGGTAGCTCATGCCTGTAATCTCAGCACTTTGGGAGGCCAAGGCGGGTGGATCACGAGGTCAAGCAGTAAAGATCTTCCTGGCCAACATGATGAAACCCCGTCTCTACTAAAAACACAAAAATTAGCTGCGCATAATGTTGCATGCCTGTAGTCCCAGCTACTCGGGAGGCAGAGTCAGGAGAATCGCTTGGACCCAGGAAGTGAAGGTTGCAGTGAGCAGAGATTGCGCCACTGCACTCCAGCTTGCCAACAGAGTGAGACTCTGCCTCAAAATAAATAAATAAATAAAATTCAGACCTCAGAATGGATACAAATACATTAAGAGATTTAAAACTAAGCTACAAATTGTATAATAAAATGACAAATAAATTTTAAATAATATAAAAGTGTCCTAAACCTAAAACAGTAATAAATCAAAAAATAGATGTGAAAATTAGCATTTAAAAAATATTTTGCTTTAATACTAATCCAGTTACTTAATTTAATGCAATGAAATACTAGTTTCTGCCAAAAAAATAATTAACAGTAATACTCATTTCAATAGAAGATAGAGCAAGATCAGAACTTTTCACTGCTGATGGAAGATTACATTTTGCTGCAAGCCTGGAAATCATCTGGGGACTCTTTGCAAAGAGAACAAAAATATGTTCTACCTTCTGTCTTAGAACTAAACCTCTCAAAAATTCATTTTGAGTTAAAAACAGAGGTGTAGTAACTTAGGTAGAGAATAGGCATTATAGAATTGTGTTAAGGAATAAAAAAAGGAACCAATGTATAAAATAATAGGAGAGATTGTTCAGTAGTTTATGTTGTCCATATGTTATTGAATGTTATCCATCAATTGCATTATACTTTTGAAGAATATTTAATATAGGCTAAAGCTTAAGCAAGTAATTTTCAATAAAAGATGCAACAATAATGAATTTGCAGATGACAAGTTTATGCCAATTTTATAAATAAATGTAAGAGATATTAAGACATTTACCTTTATTTCTATCTACATATAGTCTATGCATCTATCTATTTATTCCATTTGTCTACTGAAAACGTTTTCAACATAAAAATGTTAATCCATGGGTGGTGAAATTATCAGTGATTTAATCTTCTTTTTATACCCTTTTATTGTCCAATGTTTCTTAGCATTTATCTCCTTTAAAATCAGAAATCAAATGTTAGATAATTATAATGAAAACAATCAACTTATACCTCAAGTTTTTTTCACTTCTGCTTTTTTAAAAATCACGTTAGATTTTGTTTGTATGTTTTTGTACAATGTAGCCTGGAATTAATGCACAGATTAGTACTGTATGAAGGTCAATTTTTATGTTATTCAATCAATAGACTTTCTAGTTTATGGAGGGGCTATTCCTCAATTATAGTCTACAAATATTTATTTATTCAAATGTCTGAAAGTTCATCAAAAGAGTCTTTACTTTTTCCAAGTCTCTCTGTCACTGATAAATCAGTTTCTCAAAATACAGTTTTATGAAAGATTTCTGTTACCAAGATCTTCAAACCTAACAGAACTAAATTACATTTGACCTCATATATCTGCAAATAGCTGACAAAATTTATCACACATGAACAAATTACCTCTAAAAAGTTTTAAGTAACTACAACTTATTAAAATTATAGTAGATATTGAAACTTTTTACCATACTTTTATTCTAGAAATTTATTTTAAGTGGAATCTGATCCTTTTCTGTTTCTTCCTACAAGTCGAAAATAAAGTCTATTTTACCATAACATAACCAACGATTTTAAAGAAATTATTATTTTTTCTATAAATCAGTGGGTTCTGTGGATATTGCCTTCATGAACTTTACCATCCAGTCTTCAAAATCAGCATTAGAAAGGGACACAGGATCCAAGATCAGCCTTTTAATATCCTTTGTTTATGTGAAAATCATTTCCTGAGGCCTAGCCAATCAAAACGGAATAAAATTGGATGTACACCAGGATCGAGTATTTCTGCCAATGTTTCCTTTCTGTAAATAGCACTAAAAAAGAAACAGATGAAAATATCTCTAGAATCTGCTTAGATCCTCAAATCAGGGGTCACCTGAAAACTCTTCTATCACATAGATAATTGTCAGAAGCTGTATATAATTTAAGAACTTTCCAAACAACTCCATTTCTTACTGCAAGTGAACTCAGAAGAACCTGCATGGAGTTTTCAGAGATACTCAGCTGGACTCACATATCTGCATTGTTATTTCTATCTATATGACTTTTAGCCTATTTTTCACAATGTTCCCTCTGTTGAGTCCTTTATCTTCATTTCTGCATAGTAAACATTTCATCTTCCAAAACATACCTCACAAGCTATTAGGTTGGTGCAAAAAGAATTGTGGTTTTTGCTATTAGTTTTAAAGGCAAAATCTCAATTCTTTTTGCACCAACCTAATACCATTTTGTACACATGTAAACACCCTTTCCCTTGAACTAAGCATTGTATTTCTTCACAATTCAATTACAGACCTGATTTTTATGTCTTTCTTTCCTTTCCATGTGCTGTATATATTCTTTGAACAATCTATTGAGATCGTTTGCCCATTTTTAATGTTATGTGCCTTTGTATTATTGAGTGTTAAGAGTGAATTATACATTCCAGATAAAAGTTCTTTATCAGATATATGATTTGCAAATATTTTCTCCTATTATATGGTTCATCTTTTCACTTTCTTGGTGCTGTTCTTTGAACATAAATTTAGAATTTAGACATCAAATGTACATATTTATACTTTTGCTACTTGAGCTTTTGGTGTTATACCTAATAAGTCCTTGTCAAGTCCAAAAACCTGAAGACTTACATTTATGTTTTCAACAAAGAGGTTTTTATATTTTGCCCTTACATCTAGGTCTTAGATACCTTTTGAGTTATTTTTTGTTTATGGTGTGAGGTAGGGGTCCAACTTCATTTTTTACCCTGTGGATATCCAGTTGTCCCAGCACCACTGTTGAAAAGACTACTCTTTTGTCATAAAATGGTCTTAGAACACTTATCAATTACATTCCATTGATCTATATGTCTACCCTTGTTTCAGCACAACATGTCTTAATTACTGTAGGTTTGTACTGTACTTTGAATTCAGGACTTGTGAATCCTCCAAATTTCTTCGTTTTCAAAATTATTTTGGCTATTCTGGGTCTCCATAAGGTCCATATTACTTTTAGGATCAGCTTGTCAATTTCTACAAGAAACCAAGTGAAACTTTGTTGGGGACTGCATTTGAACATACACATTGATTTTTAAAAATATTTGCATCTTAACTATATTATGTTTCTATCCATGAAAAATGTTTTACAGCTTCACAGTATAAGCTTTTAACTTCTTTGTCAAATTTATTTTTGAGAATTTACTTTTTGATGCTATTTTAAGTAAAATATTTTCTTAATTTTATATTTAGATTGTTTGTTGCAAACATATAGAAAACAATCTTTTAATTTATTATTATTCCTATATCTCAAGAACTTGTTTAACTGGCTTAATAACTCCTATCTTTTTTAATGGATTTTGTTGGATTTTTTTCATGTACAAGATTATATCATCTAAAAGTATAGCTTTATTCTTCCTCTTTTCTATCTAGTTTCACAGTATTTCTTCTCCTTGCTTAATTATCTTAGATAGAACATCTAGGGTGATATTGAAGAAAGCTGATAAGAGTGATCATCCTTCTTCTGTTCCTGATTTTAGAGAATACTTTCGGGTTTTACTGTTAAATACGATGTTATTCGTTTTTCATTGATGCTTTTTTTCAGGCTGAGGAAACTTCCTTCTACTACCTCTTGTTGAGTGTTTTTATCATGAAGAAGTATTGACTTTTGTCTGCATCTACTGAGATTATTGTGTAGTTTTTGACTTTATTCTTTTGATATATTATCTTCATTGCTTACCATATGTTGTATCAAACCTTGCATTCCCAGAATTAACCCTATTTAACCATGATGTATATTTCTTTCATATGCTCCTGCATTTTATTTGCTAATATTTCATTGAAGGTTCCTGCATCTATAATCATAAAGATATTGGTCTTTAGTTTTCTTTCCATGTTTATCTTTGTCTGGTTCTGATATGAGGATAACAATGGCCTCATAGAATGAGTCGAGAAGTTTTCCCTTCTCTTTTAATTTTTGCAAGATTTTGAAAACATGGCATTAATTCTGATTTCAATGTTTGGCAGAATTTAACAGTGAAGTCGACTAGGTATGTCCTTTTTCTAGGTATGTGTAGTGTTTTGATTACTATTTCAATTGTTTTACTTGTTACAGACCACTTCAGATTTTCTATTTCTTTTTGAGTCACTTTTAGTTAATTGGGTTTTTCTAGAAATTTGTCCGTTTCATCAAAATTATCAAATTTATTGTCACATAGTTTTTATTTGTTTCTTAAAGCTGTCATAATAGATTACCACAAAGTTGGTGGCTCAAAACAGCAGACATTTATTATCTCACGGTTCTGGAGGACAGATGTCTAAAATCTGCCCTCCAGTTGTCAGGAGAGCCACATTCCAGAGGTTCCCATGGGAGAGATAATGTGCCTTGTCTCTTTCATCTTCTAGTGGGTCCTGGCATTCCTTGGCTTGTGGCACATAATTTAACTTCTCTATTCATCTTCCCATGATCTTCTTTTTTCTGTCTTCCCTTCTTTTATAAGGACACTAGAGCTTATTTCAAAATCCTTAGTTTAATTATATCAGCAAAGACCCTTTTTCCAAATTAGGTCACATTTACAAGGTATGGGGTTTAGAATGTGGACATATTTGCTGACTCTTCTGTCAATTTAAATTTGCTGTTGACCCCCTCTAGCATAGTTTTAATTTCAGTTATTATATTCTTCAACTCCAGAATTTTCATTTTAAAATAATTTGGTTTTATAGATATACTATTTAATGAAATATCATATCTTCTTTTAATCCTTTAATCCTTAAGCCTCTTTTGCAGGGGCTACCATCCAACCCACTAGACTTTTGTTCAGAGTATTCATAAAAACAACATTAGTAACATTTCATCTTTCATTCCTAATTTGAGTATTTTGAGTTTTCTCTTTTTCTTTCATCAGCATTGATAAGCATTTGTCAATTTACTTCCTCTTTTCAAATAATCAATTTTTGGTTTTGTTTATTTTTTCTATTGTATTTCTGTATTTTATTAATTTTTCTCTGATGTTTATTATTTAATAGCTTCCTACTTTAGTTGCCTCTTCTTTCTACTGACATAAGGCAGGTTAGGTTATTTTTTGAGGTCTTCTTTTTTAATATAGCATTCACATTTGTATATTTCTCTGTAATCACTACTTTAGCTACATCTTGTAAGTTTTGATATGTTGTCCCCTCCTTTTGAGTCACCTCATCTTAAAATATTTCATATTTGTTTTTGATTAGTCCTTTGACCCTTTGGTTATTTAGGTGCATGTTGTTTAGTCTCCATACATTTGTGAATTTCCAGTATTTCTTTCACTATTAACTTCTAAATCTATTTCATTGTAGTCAGAGAATGTAGGATTTCAACCCTTATAAGTTTATCAAGGATTGTGTGAGTAGCATCGGCCTATCAAGAAAAATTCTTCATGCCCTTGAGAATAATGGGTCCCACTGTTGTTGGGCAGGCAAAAATAGAATAACGCATTCTACTGGTTGCCTCTTAGCCGTATTTGCTTTATAGCGTTATTCAAGTCTTCCATTTCGTTATTTATTCTCTGCTTAGTTATAATCATTATCAAAAGAGGAATATGGAAGTCTTCACTATTGTTCAAATTCTATTCTCCCTTCAATTCTGTCAAGGATGCCTTCATGTATTGTGGTCTGTTTTTATATATGTTTGTAATTGTTACATCTTTCTGATGGATTAATGCATTCATCAATATAAAATCTACTCTTTCTCTTAGTTACATTTCTTATTTTAAAGTCTACTTTGTCAGACACTAATACAGCAAGCTTGCTGTTTGCTTTTTCCATTAATTTATTCTGAAACTATGCATATATTTGAAACTAAGATGTGCCTCCTATAGACAATATAGAACTGGAGTATGTTTTTGTTTTTTGTTTTTACCCAGACTGGCAATCTATAATTTTTGATTAGATTGTTCAATCTACATACTTTTGATATAATTATTGAGATAGTTGGATTTATGTCTGGCATTTTAGTGTCCTGTAAGTCTTATATCTTGTTTGTTTTTCTATTTCTTCTTCATTTTTTTCTTTAGCATTAAGTATTTTCTAGTATAATATTTTCATACTTAAATGGCTTTTAAACTGTATTTTTAAATTTATATTGGTTGCTCTAGGACTTACCAAATACATCTTAGTTTACCATGATCTAATTCAGATATATAATAACATACTGCTAGTGAGAATAGATGTAACACCTGTATATTTCTATTTCTTCTTTTGCATTTTATACTATTGTTATTTGTATTACACTGATACATGCTACAAAACTAAAAATGCTTTGTTGTAATTATTATTAATAAAGAACTTCCTTTAGGCTGAAATTTCTTCCAAAGCAGTGTGTTAGCAACAAATCAGCATCATTTTTTATTTGTTTGGCAATGTCTTGATGTTTATTATTTAAAGATAGATTTTCTGCTTATAAATGTCTTATTTGTCTTTTTGTATTCTTGTTTCTTCACTTTGAATATGGCATCCTCCTATCTTCTGCCTTCTGTTGTTTCTCATGGGGAGTCGGCTGTTAATATCATTGAGGCTTCCTTGCATATTATGTGTCATTTTTCTCTTGCTGCATGCAAGATTTTCCTTTTGATTTGGCTTTCAGAATTTTTATTATAATGTAGTCTTTTGCATTAATCCTACTTAGAGTTTTTGAGCTTCTTGCATGTGTACATTGTTTTTCATCAAATTTGGGACATTTCATTATTATTTATTTTTTTAAATAGTCTTTCTCCTCCTTTTCCTCTCTCTTCTCTTTTTGTTACTCCTATTACCTATCTTTTGGTACACTTTTATATTTCTCTGAAGCTCTGTTTATTTGCCTTCTTTATTTCTCCCTGTTCTTCAGGTTGCATAATTGCTTCAGTCTACTAGTTTCCTGATGCTTTGTCAATTTAAATTTGCTGTTGACCCCCTCTAGCATATTTTTAATTTCAGTTATTATATTCTTCAACTCCAGACTTTTCATTTTTAAATAATTTGGTTTTATTGATATTCTATTTAATGAAATACTATATGTTCTTTTAATCCTTTAATTATTTAAATATATTTTAAATGGAGTTTTGAAGTATTTTTAAAATCCCATACTTGGACTTCTCACTGGCAGTTTTGTTGTCTTTTTTTTTTTTTTTTTTGGTAACGGAGTCTCACTCTGTCGCCCAGGCTGGAGTGCAGTGGCACAATCTCGGCTCACTGCAAGCTCTGCCTCCCAGGGTTCACGCCATTCTCCTGCCTCAGCCTCCCAAGTAGCTGGGACTACCGGTGCCTGCCACCACGCCCGGCCAATTTTTTGTATTTTTAGTAGAGACGAAGTTTCACCATATTAGCCAGGATGGCCTCAATCTCCCAACCCCGTGATCCGCGTGCCTCAGCCTCCCAAAGTGCTGGGGTTACAGGTGTGAGCCACCGCTCCCAGCCTCCCTTTTTAATAATATGCATGAACCAAGTCCTCCTTTTTCTTTGTATGCAATCTAATATTTTTGTTGAAAACTGTACATTTTAGATACTATATTATAGCAGCTCTTGATGCTGATCCTACCCTTGGTTTGTTTTTGTCATCATTTGATTGCTTGTTTAGTGGGCATTATAGGCATTTGCACAGTCATCATGAGATAACAGTAGTTTTAATAGGGCTCTCTTTGTTTCTTTTCTAATCTTTCAGTTAAGCTGTCTGCTTCTATTGTCATCACACCCAATTTTTGGGCTCCACTAATTGATGGTCGATTGATCTGTATTTTTAACAATCGCCAGAGTTATAAATTACCCCATGGGCTTGATCCTATTAAATTTGAGCCCCTTTGTAAGGGCAGTTTTTGAGGACAGCTTGAGGAGTTTTGTTTTGTTTTTCCTGAATATCTGGGAGATTTTTCCCTGCTGCCTCTTTTCTCCATTCTCTAGCAGACTAACTGGCTTATGGTTTACCATTTTGCTCTCGAGAAACTATCAGTCTGCTCTTAATTGCTAACAACAAAATTGCCATTTTAAAGAGTATCTTTAGTCTTGAACTTCCTTCATATCCTGGCTCAAATAAAGTTATTCCTTTAGGAAGAGCCTCAGAGCACTCTCTCCTTATGGCTTACCTCTCCCTGAGGGCAAAATCTATGGTTCACTTTTCAGGAGCTTTCGACAAGGCCTGTGGCTCACTGCTTTTGGAACAACACCTCTTCTTTATGACCAGGGTACAGATTGACTCTTCCCATCTTCTCAGCTTGCCTTTCCAAGTGCAACGCATTCCTCCCATGAGCAAGCTGAGATGAGAGTAATCAGGCGCATCCTACTCTTAGCTGCTGCACCAGACTATAGCTTCCATCCTGAGTGGGAACTGGGTGGAGAACCCCTAATCTTTCGGCCACATTTACATTGAATTTGGTCTCAGAAATGCAGAGTTAAGGCAGAAAAAAAGATGATGGGGGCATGGGAAGAAAGAAAAACATAACCAGCCTGCCTCTCTCTGCAAGACTGACTGTAAGCTAAACGGAGAAGCCCTGGTTTTTGGCTACATCTGATGGAATGGAGTATCTGTCATGCTTAGATGGAATGATAGAGGGAGCAGGTCTCAGCTCAAGTTTTATTGATTGCCACTATTTTTAATTGAAATTTCACAGAATTTCTTTAATAAATAAGTTTTCATTTGCTACAATAACTTATGGCAATTTCCAGAATCTTAAATGGTTATTTGTTTTATTTTATATATATTTTTTAGTGATGATAGTTTCACAGGGAAGTGGACCTGCAGGGCTCTTCATATAAACATTTCAAATGTTTCTGGTCAATGGATTTTAGTATTCTCAAAATAAATTTCTCACAACGCAAGCACATAATGTCTCATTTTAACAAAGGAGGGTAATGATGGACCAAGTAAAGGTGATGAGAAAGAGATTGAAGAGGAAAGGAATAAAGCAGAGAGAGAATAATTAAAAATTGCTTACTGTTTTTTTTAAAAGATGGAGCTCTTAAAATCACTCTCTTTGGAAAGTCTACTTTCCATTTAAAAAAAAAAATGCACCTATGTATACCACTCAAAATGTACATATCTTGCAAGTAATTCCCAAAACACCGAAGAAAGCTTTCCACAGAGACCACAGACACCATGCGTTAGAAAATTCTATATTAGGGCCAGGCGCAGTGGCTGACGCCTGTAATCCCAGTACTTTGGGAGGCCGAGGCGGGTAGATCACGGGGTCAGGGGATGGAGACCATCCTGGCTAACACAGTGAAACCCCGTCTCTACCAAAAACACAAAAAATTAGCCAGGCATGGTGGTGGGCGTCTGTAGTCCCAACTACTTGGGAGGCTGAGGTAGGAGAATGGCGTGAACCTGGGAGGCAGAGCTTGCAGTGAGCCGAGATCACACCACTGCACTCCAGCCTGGGCAACAGAGCAAGACTCCGTCTCAAAAAAAAAAAAGAAAAGAAAATTCTATATTAGACAATTGCATCTTTAAGGGCAGAAAATCTATCCTATTATCCTATTTATATTTATATTCTCTGTAAGGTAAGTATTGTTCCAGGCACATGGTTGTTATTTAGTAAAGTTTTGATGAGAAGATAAGTGAATGAACACAAAAACCAGAACACACACACACACACACACAAACACACACACACACACACACGATGGCAGCTTTTCAGGAATTTGTGATCTCACTGCAGGGAGAAAAATCTTTCTACATTAAGACTTAGAAATAGGGCCGGGCATGGTGGCTCATGCCTGTAACCTAGCACTTTGAGAGGCTGAGGTGGGCCCACTGCTTGAGCTCAGGAATTCGAAATCAGCCTGGGCAACATGGCGAAACCCTACCTCTACAAAAACCCACAAAACTTAGCTGGGCATGGTGGCATGTGCTTATAGTCCCAGCTACTCTGGGGGCCATGCTAGGAGGATTACCTGAGCCTGGGGAGGTTAAGGCTGTGAGGTTGTAGTCAGTCATGATCATGTCATTGCACTTCAGCTTCAGTGACAGAGTGAGACCCTCTCTCAAAAAAATAAATAAAGGAAAAAAATAAAAGAAAAAATAACTATGAACAAACAAATAGTAAACTGATCCATGGGGGACAAAATTAGATAGAATTGCTTAAAGTGAGTTTGGAGATGTTAAGAAAGCTGCTATAAAATTGAAAAAATAGATATTAATATTTAGTTTTGACATTAAAGAGTCTGCATTTAATGTTTATATACAGAAATAAAAATAAAGTCACAAAATTAAAATTCCAAAGAGATAAATTTTTGCCTTTTTAAAATAAATCTTCATTTGAAATGGTGGGCATGATGGGGGAAAAAGGCAACACAAGGTGAGTGGCAATGTGTAATGAGATAAAGAAAAAATGAGAGGTTATGAGAAATGATGTGAGAAAGTAAAATTAATCATGGTTTAACCAGCCTCAGAAAGACTTTTAAAATTCAGGCTTTTGCTTTATAGTGGCTCGTTTGCTCTCTGAGGAGTGGCCTTTAGAAACCCATTGAAGTTTAAGACATCATCTGAAGATGAGAAGCACTTTTTATTCCTTATTCCTTATTTTACCTTCACTCCTCACCACCCTCACACATGTATTAGTGGGAGTGTGAAGATGCTGGGCAAGGTTTGCAGCAGCCATGTGTCCTCTGTGGGCAGATATAGAAGGATCACTGAAGGACAATCACTAAATTCACATGGCTTTATAATATTACCAGAGCCAAAGCAGAAAAAGGTATACTTAAATTTACTAACATTCTTTTTCCTGTGGTCACGTTTTTTTTTTTTTTTTTTTTTTTTTTTTTTTTCCCTGGAGACAGAGTCTCACTCTGTCATCAGGCTGGAGTACAGAGTGGCATGATCTTGGCTCACTGCAACCTCCGCCTGCCGGGTTCAAGCGATTCTCCTGCCTCAGCATCCTGAGTAGCTGGGACTACCAGCTCATGCCACCATGCTTGACTAATTTTTATATTTTTAGTATAGTTGGGGTTTCACCACATTGGCCAGGATGGTCTCGATCTCTTGACCTCGTGATCCGCCCACCTCGGCCTCTCAAAGTGCTGAGATTACAGGTGTGAGCCACAGTACCCGGCCTGTGGCCACATTTAAAACAAATACTTGTTCAATTATGATTAAATACATACATTATTTAAAACTGAGCTTGATAATCACACCAAGCTTGAAAATCACAGTTTTAAGCATCTGCTATGGACTCAGTGTTTGTGCTTCTCTAATGTTTATATACTGAAGCCCTAATCCCCAAGGGGATGGTATTTTGGGGTGGGGCCTCTAGGGGGTAATTAGGTCATGAGGGTAGAGCCTTCATGATTGGGAATAGTACACTTAAACATAAGAAGAGACACAAGAGACAAACTCCCTCTCAGCCACATGAGGAGAGAGCAACAAGGCAGCCATCTGCAAATCAGAAACAGGGCCCTCGCCAGAACTGAATCAGCCAGCCCCTTAATCTTGGACCTCAGACACAGCTTCCAGAAGTAAGAGACATAAAGTTCTGTTGTTTAAGTTACCCCATCTGTGGTATTTTCTTATAGTAGCACAAGGGGACTAAGACATCATCTACCATGGTGCCACAAGGTAGCAGGAACATAAATACGGATGACTATTTACTGGGCTGGTTAAATGCCCATAAAACCTACACTGCTCCATGTAAGTGCATTTCCTCTTTTAAAATAACCTCATTTGGTGGTAAACTGAAAGTTTGGAAACAGTGGTGATGAGCAGAACACTTCAAAGAACCTTGAAAAAATAGTTGAGTAAAGGTTCACATCATCAAGACAAAAAATAAAGTCTTCTGGGACAAGGGCCACTTCTTATTCATCTTATTCTAAGCATAAAGCAAAGAACCAGGAAAAACATGGTCACTAAATAATTCAGTCATTGGTGTCATAGTTTATTCATTTAACAAATATTACATTCTCCTATGGCAAACCTTCTGAATGTGGGGAAGGAGAGGAGATATAGAGAAAGGAATCATATGTCTTTTTAAGCAAATAGACACTTTATTTCTGTAACACAACCCACCCTCCCTTTTTCCAAAGAACATGAGTTCACCTAGGCCTTCAAAGCAGAGGACAAAAGCTGATAAATGACAACGCAAGGGGTTGCTAGAAAAATAGATTACACCCAAGGCTCTCCTCCTGGGGACTCAAACCCCTGTTCCCAAGTCTTCCCTCAGGCCTGCCACATGGAGCGAGCTAAAGACATGGAGAGGGGCTGGAAACAGAAAAGCCAACCCCATTGAACAAAGGGGAAAGGAACCTGTCAGTGAAAAGGCCTGGGAAGGGTGTGGGGTGGAGTGAGCTTTGCTCCCAGATTGAGTGCTGGAAAAGAAAAGGGGAAGATCTAGTGATGAGGAAAGTTTTGCTGAATAAATAAGTGTACGAACCTGTAAATTCAAAGAGAGAAGGGGAAGAAAATCAGGTTTGTGAAAAAGATTTGCAAATAATCAATTTGTTTTATTTCTTTTGCTCATATTGTCAGTATCTTAGATTTACAGAACATTATCTTACCTCATAACCACATTCCAAAATGGTATTAAAATAACCATTTCATAGATGAGTAAGGCTTAAGATCGGTAATTGTCTAGCCTAGAGATCAAGTGGGACCTTGTACCCAGGTTGTGGCATCATCTTTGGTTCTCTACTGTGAAAGGCAGTGTGTCTTCACAACTGTTTAAAGAAAATCTGTCAGGGCTCTATCCTTGTCAGGTCTCTTCCAGGATAATAAGTCCAGTAAAAATAATATTGTACTTGGATTTGAAAGCTCTCAGGCCCTATCTGGCATTGCTACTGAGTAGCAGTGCTTCTATGGTCACACATAGTATAATATTCAACTTCCTCATTTCTGAGAAAATGTCTTCAAGCTTCTACCCCACTTGCCTCAAGAGTCAGTCCTCTAGCATAAAGAGAGGGTAATGTGGGTTGTACTTTAATTTCTTTTTGCATTGTCTATTTTTCAGTATTCTTTGAGGTGTTTTACTTATTTCTACTGATTCCAAAGTCTTGAATTGGGGTAACCTTAGGATCAGGGCCTGTCTGAAATTCCTGGTCATTGTGTGTTCACAAGGATTCAGAACTCTACTGAGCACTGCCATTGGAGAGGTTACTTTAGGGAAGGACACTATTTATTTTACTGTCCTATATTTTTGTTTTCCATGACCCCATTATATGAAATAGACAGGTATATAAGACTTAATTAAAGGCTTGAGAAAATGAAAAGTAATTACACCGGAGGAGTAGAAAAGAGAAATGTACCATATGATTTTCTGAGGGGATGCATTCAAGTGGTTAAGCTCTAAGGAGATATGTGAGGAGAAGGTCAATTTACAGAAAAAGCCTATTTTATTTCATTCATAGTTTTCCTTCCTCCAAAAATTGATCTGACCTCTGTTATTTCACTAACCCCCTCTACTCACAAAAATTTGCCTCATGCCAAGCTCGATATTCCTTGTTTCTCTTAATCAGAGTATTCCAAATTAGATTAACCTACTATGGGTATGTTGCGAGAGCTTTAGAAGGATAATCAGGGCTTCCTACTTAAAGAAAAGTAAATTAATTACTTTTTTAAAGTACAGGAAAAAAATCTATCCTGCCCTGATTTGATGACAAATGATATAAATCATTTATCAATCTAGTAACTTTACATTTCAGAATGTATTGCTTTCACCCCCCCTTAAATGGTACTATTTATAATCTTAATAACCTACAGTCAGCACCTATTTATACTCTGCATGAAAATTTGCTTTCCCCATCGACCTTGGAGTTCACTGGCTCATTTTCACATCCTTCAAACAGCAAGACCAAAATTCCTTCTTGTTCTGCTCTTCTCTTGGAGAGATCCAAGACAGGTATTTTGTGGATGTGCTTACCTTTCTGCTAACCTAACCCCTCAACCCAGTGCTTTTCACCTTTGTCTACAGTTGTTATGCTGATCGGCATTGGAGCTGCAACCAATTCACTCTTGATCATCACCCAAAGTCTTATTTCTCTTTTGCATAATCGTCATTGCCTGCACTTCTGCTAATTATTGGAAGTTCTCAAGAAGCTCAGGTGGTGGTACTGAATTTACCAGCAACACACTTCAGGGCATGAGCTCTTCCTGCAGCAAGTGTTTGTAGCTGGGTCACTACCTACCTCCAGTTCTTCGGTATTCATCCTTCATTTTTCTAAGTAGCTATGGCAATCTGTCCCTTCCTTACAGTTGTGTTCATAACATAAAGCTGGATTTAGGTTCTAGTGTTAACCGAGTTTGAGTTTCCACACTTAGCTCCTTGGTGGTAGAAAGTCCCTTCATCTTTATTTGGATCCTTGTCACCTTTTATCATCCCAGTCTCTTTTTTGAGCTTAGAAGGTGAGGGCTCAGTCACAGTGATTTGACCAAGGATCTGTTCCCTTGTTTTACTGTTATGAAAATGTGGTCAAAATGTTTAAATAAGTGAAAAAAAAGCCCTAAAAATGCCATTCCCTACCAGTGATCCTGACTTCAGGATATTCTGGTTCATCTTTGTGTGACTTCTCACTATGCCATTTTGATTTCTAGTTGTCTTGAAGCAGTAGATGATTCTGCAGTTAGTGAACCTTAAAAATTCCCATTCACTTCACATTTAGAGACATTCAACTTATGATGCTACACTTCCCGGATCCTTATCCCACCAATATTCTGTAAAGTTCATGTACGTTTTTACAATAGAAAGAGTCCAGTTGCACATTTGGAATGCAAAGTTTTACCCACCTCAAAGTATTGTGAAAGAAGAGGTTACCGATCTAAATTCTTAGTCAAAAGTTTCCAAATCAATGGGAATTACTTGTTCTGGAACTATAACTTTTGGAGCCAAGAGCCATGAGAAATGGCCACTTGACTGGCTTTATATTGAAGGTATACCATATTTAAAGGTTCATTTTGGGACCTTGGATTACACATCATTGCGTGTTATGGAGATTTGCATTCAGTTCAAGTTTTTTATATCAGGAACACCAAAATAAGTACACACTGGAAACCAAATTTATTTGGATTATTATATCTGGAATTTTAAAGCTCCCACTCCAGTAACATATGGGCCGCTCTTACTATAATTTTCTAATATTTAAATGAGAAGGAATTATATAATGGGCTAAGCCTCTGCCACAATGCCAAGAATCTGTGATGTCTAAAAGTGGAAGAGTGAATGAAGTCATAACACCAAGGAGACCTGATGTAACCCTCAAGAAACTCCTGATGAAGACCACTCCCTGACACTCAAGGAGCTTCCTGACTTCCCAGTATCACATGGGAGGGTTCTCCCTCCTGCCTCCTTCCCGCCATGAGCAGCTGATAGTGCCTGAGAGCCTCTTAAGACCTGCATAAACTCACATCTTTCAATAATTATTTCTCTTTTTCTATTTCTAGCAAACACACTGTTTTTACATTCATAATAGTGATAAAAATTTTCCTATTTCAAGAAATTTAAATTAAAAATGAATACATATAAAATAGTAACCAATAGTAAAAGTTGTATATAACCAATAGAAAGGTTGAAATTCAAATAAGTGCATGAAAGTAGTCTTGGAGCTTTATGAAAATCAAAGATTGATGCTTAAGGAATCTAAAATAAGGATAACTCCTTATCATATGGCTTTAACATACTTTTTCAGTAAAAACATTAGAGTGGTTAGAAAACAATATAGTCATAGAGAACATACTCTGGCTTTACAGTTAAGGCCAAACACAGTTCAAATGCAATACCTTTTTAATGAGACCTCGGGCTCAGGGTTCTCATTTGTGGAATAGGATCCTTACCTCATTAAATTGGTCTATGCATTAAGTGACATAATGCCTATAATATGAAGAATATATAGATGCTGCTTTTCCATTCCTCTTGACTACCCCTAGAATATTATATCAGCTGTTTTCATTTTCTTAACGACATGAATTGAGAGTAGGCCACAATTATTTACATTGTAATTATTTTTGTAATGTTCTTGTAAAATAAGAAAACAGTTCTATATTAATTCTCTGTATTGTTGTGGCACAGATAAATAAAAGTGTAAGTCAGAGGAAAAAATAAAATTGAAGGCCAATCATAGATGCCAGTGGACACACCTGTTGAAGCCAAGTAAGTAAACTAACAAGACCGAGAAGGGTATCCAGTGGGATGTTTAAGCCCACATATATATTTCCCTGGTTCTAACAGTTAATTCCAAGTTACTACAGAGTTAAGATAATTGCTGATTCTATTTTCTGTTTGTTCTTTTCTATTGATTTTTTTTGTTTGATTTTTTTTTTACTTTGTTCACAGATGATAAGTTATGTTACTTTGGTAATAATAAAAATTGGACATTTGATTTTATGGTCAAAACATTTGATAATCTCTATCAAACAGATTATAGGGATCTATTCTTTTTCAGTGGAGGGAAAAAAGAATGTATGGTTTTATTAGTGCTTTTGGTTGTTGCTGTTTGTTGTTGTTGTTGTTGTTTTGAGATGGAGTCTTGCTCTGTCGCCCAGGCTGGAGTGCAATGGTATGATCTCGGCTCACTGCAAACTCTGTCTCCTGGGTTCAAGCAATTCCCTGCCTCAGCCTCCCGAGTAGCTGGGATTACAGGCGACTGCCACCACACCTGGCTAATTTTTGTATTTTTAGTAGAGACGAAGTTTCACCATCTTGGCTAGGCTAGTCCTGAACTTCTGACCTCATGATCCACCTGCTTCGGCCTCCCAAAATGCTGGGATTGCAGGCGTGAGCTACGGCGACCAGCTATTAGTGCTTGTTTTTTAACTTGTTTGCTTATTTGTCAGTTTATATCAATTAAGAATTGCATACCCATCAAGAAGGAGAACAGCTCTTTGGAATCTGAACAAGTAATTTTAAAAAATGTGGCCGGGCGCAGTGGCTCACGCCTGTAATCCCAGCACTTTGGGAGGCCGAGGCGGGTGGATCACGAGGTCAGGAGATCAAGACCATCCTGGCTAACACAGTGAAACCCCGTCTCTACTAAAAATACAAAAAATTAGCTGGGCGAGGTAGCAGGCGCCTGTAGTCCCAGCTACTCGGGAGGCTGAGGCAGGAGAACGGCGTGAACCCCGGGGGGCGGATCCTGCAGTGAGACGAGATCTCGCCACTGCACTCCAGCCTGGGCGACAGGGAGACTCCGTCTCAAAAAAAATAAATAAATAAAATAAATAAATAAATAAATAAAATGTTTGTGTGTACTTTTGACTTGTGGTATAAGTTGTAGAATTGAAAATATAAGTGGTCTACAATGTAGTAGAATCTTTGGGAAATAGCTAAAGCAGTGTTTACAGGGAAATTTACAGCACTAAATGCCCATAGAAGAAAGCAGGAAAGATCTAAAATCAACACCCTAACATCACAATTAAAAGAACTAGAGAAGTAAGAGCAAAGAAATTCAAAAGCTAGCAGAAGACAAGAAATAAGTAAGATCAGAGCAGAAATGAAGGAGATAGAGACATGAAAAACTCTTCAAAAAATCAATGAATCCAACAGCTGATTTTTTTAAAAGATTGACAAAATAGACTGCTAGCCAGACCGATAAAGAAGAAAAGAGAGAAGAATCAAATAGACACAATAGAAAATGATAAAGGGGATATCACCACTGATCCCACAGAAATACAAACTGCCATCAGAGAATATTATAAACACCTCTAACGAATAAAATGGAAATTCTAGAAGAAATCGATAAATTCCTGGACACATACACCCTCAAAAGACTAAACCAGGAAGAAGTCAAATCCCTGAATAGACCAATAACAAGTTCTGAAATGGAGGCAGTAATTAATAGCCTACCAACGAAAAAAACCCAGGACCAGGCAGATTCACAGCTGAATTCTACCAGGGATACAAAGAGGAGCTGGTCCCTACCATTCATTCTGAAACTATTCCAAACAGTAGAAAAAGAGGGACTCCTCCCTAACTCATTTTATGAGGCCAGTATCATCCTGATACCAAAACCTGGTAGAGATACAACAAAAAAAGGAAATTTCAGGACAATATCCCTGATGAACATTGATGCAAAGATCCTCAATAAAATACTGGCAAACTGAATCTGACAGCACATCAAAAGCTTACCCCTCATGAACAAGTCAGCTTCATCTCTGGGATGCAAGGCTGGTTCAACGTACACAAATCAATAAATGTAATCTATTACATAAACAGAACCAATGACAAAACCACATGATCTCAATAGATGCAGAAAAGGCCTTCAATAAAATTCAACACCCCATTCATGCTAAAAACTCCCAATAAGCTAGGTATTGATGGAATGTATCTCAAAATAATAAGAACTATTTATGACAAACCCACAGCCAATATCATACTGAAAGGGCAAAAGCTGGAAGCATTACCTTTGAAAACCAGCCCAAGACAAGGATGCCCTCTCTCACCACTTCTACTCAACATAGTATTGGAAGTTCTGGCCAGGACAATCAGGCAAGAGAAATAAAGGTATTCAAATAAGAAGAGTGAAAGTCAAATTTTCTCTGTTTGCAGATGACATGATTGTATATTTAGAAAACTCCATCGTTTCAGCCCAAAATCTCCTTAAGCTGAAAAGCAACTTCAGCAAAGTCTCAGGATACAAAATCAGTGTGCAAAAATCACAAGCATTTCTATACACCAATAATAGATAAACAGAGAGCCAAATCATGAGTGAACTCCCATTCACAATTGCTACAAAGAGAATAAAATGCCTAGGAATACAGCTTACAAGGGATGTGAAGGACCTCTTCAAGGAGAACTACAACCACTGCTCAAGGAAATAAAAGAGGACACAAACAAATGGAAAAACATTCCATGCTCATGGATAGGAAGAATCAATATCATGAAAACAGCCACATTACCTAAAGTAATTTATAGATTCAATGCTATCACCATCAAGCTACCATTGACTTTTATCATAGATGTAGAAAAAACTACTTTAAATTTCCTATGGAACCAAAAAAGAACCCGTATAGCCAAGACAATCCTAAGCAAAAAGAATAAAGCTGGAGGCATTATGCTACCTGACTTAAGGCTACAGTAACCAAAACATCATGGTACTGGTACCAAAACAGATATATAGACCAATGGAACAGAACAGAGGTCTCAGAAATAACTCCACTCATCCACAACCATCTGATCTTTTACAAACCAGACAAAAACAAGCAATGGGGAAAGGATTCCCTATTTAATAAATGGTGTTGGGAAAACTGGCTATCCATATGCAGAAAAATGAAACTGGACCCCTTCTTTACACCTTACATAAAAATTAACTCAAGGTGGATTAAAGACTTAAATATTAGACCTAAAACCATAAAAACCCTAGAAGAAAACCTAGGCAATACCATTCAGGACATAGGCATGGGCAAAGAGTTCATTACTAAAATGCCAAAAGCAACGGCAACAGAAGCCAAAATTCAGGAATGGGATCTAATTAAACTAAAGAGCTTCTGCACAGCAAAAGAAACTATTATCAGAGTGAACAGGCAACCTACAGAATGGAAGAAAATTTCTGCAATTCATCCATCTGACAAAGGGCTAATATCCAGAATCTACAAAGAACTTTTAAGAAATTTACAAGAAAAAAACAAATAACCCCATCAAAAAGTGGGTGAAGGATATGAACAGACATTTCTCAAAAGAAGAGATTTATGCAGCCAACAAACATGAAAAAAACTCATGATCACTGGACATTAGAGAAATTCAAATAAAAACCACAATGAGATACCATCTCATGCCAGTTAGAATGGCAATCATTAAAAAGTCAGGAAACAACAGATACTAGAGAGGATGTGGAGAAACAGAAACACTTTTACACTGTTGGTGGAAGTGTAAATTAGTTCAACCAGTGTGGAAGACAGTGTGGTGATTCCTCAAGGCTCTAGAACCAGAAATAGCATTTGACCCAGTAATCCCATTACTCATGATATAGCCAAAGGAATATAAATCATTCCACCAGAAAGACACATGCACACATATGTTTATTGCAGCACTATTCACAATAGCAAAGACTTGGAACCAACCCAAATTCCCATCAATGACAGACTGGATAAAGAAAATGTGGCATGTGTACACCATGGAATACTATGCAGCCATAAAAAAGGGTGAGTTTATTGCCTTTGTAGGGATATGGATGAAGCTGGAAACCATCATTCTCAGCAAAGTAACACTGGAACAGAAAACCAAACACTGCATATTCTTACTCATAAGTGGGAGGTGAACAAGGAGAACACACAGACACAGGGATGGGAACATCACACAATGGGGCCTGTCAGGGAATGTGGGACTATAGGAGGGATAGCATTAGGAGAAATACCTAATGTACATGATGGGTTGATGGGTGCAGCAAACCACCATGGCATATATATACCTATGTAACAAACCTGCACGTTCTGCACACATATCCCAGAACTTAAAGTATAATTTTTAACAAAAGAACAAAATATAAGTTGTGTATGTGTCTGTGCATCTGTAGTTGAGTAAGGCTTTTACATTTCATTATAAGTGTGAAATAGTTTCCTACCTTCAGGGATTAAAAATTTGAATATACTATTGCTTAAATTAGTTGTCTTCTGATTATTTTATAAATATAAATAAGCATCGATAAAAATTTAAGTATTTCAAAATTTCCCAGAAAATAAATAGAATGGACTCATAACACTTTAAAATTATTGAGACAAATCTTTATCGCAGACACTGATATCTTAGAAACATTTTAAAAATCCAAGAATAATCAAGATGAATTTTGCAAATTATGCTATCAATAATTTTGTATTTAAAATATTAATGATAGCTATATGTCAATTTTTTGAGTTTCAATATGGAGTAAAATATAAACATTTTATAAGATTATATACAAGATATATTTGCATGATTTCTAAAGTTTTCTTTTATGTGAAATTTGGATTTGCTTTCTCACTAAGAGGTAAATTAATCTGAAATTTCTAAACTTGTACTGGATTACCAATATAAGACTTACATAATGTTCAAGATCATAAAAAATATAAATGTAGATTTAATTAAGTGGAATCATAATTCTGACAAGCTTACAAAGTATAAATATGTTTTGCACTATATTATAATAAATATTTCTAAGATCCTTAGATAACTAAAATTCATGAACTAATATTAAAATGTTAATGGATAATCTTCGGATTTTCAGCTAATTTCTTTTTTTTTTTTTTTGAGACGGAGTCTCACTCTTTCGCCCAGGCTGGAGTGCAGTGGCGCGGTCTCGGCTCACTGCAACCTCTGCCTCACAGGTTCACGCCATTCTCCTGCCTCAGCCTCCAGAGTAGCTGGAAATACAGGCACCCACCACCTGGATAATTTTTTGTATTTTTTTAGTACAGATGGGGTTTCACCGTGTTCGCCAGGATGGTCTCAATGTCCTGAAAGCGTCATCCGCCCACCTCGGCCTCCCAAAGTGTTGGGATTACAGGCATGAGCCACCGCGCCCAGCCCCCTGGATTCTTAGCTAATTTCTAAGGGATATTAAATAGTGAAAGATGGCTTATAAACATAATTTTAATTTTATAGTTTCTTATTTGCATGTGGTATGGAGTGGCCATCTCTTAGGGTAATGTTAATGAACCTTTTCCTTCTTATCATTTTGACAGGATGAAAAAGGGATACATATGGCTATACTTACGTGTATGAGCTTGTCTTCTACAATCATGATTATATATGACAGACAATTCTCAGTACTATTATCCAGTTGTTTTCTTTGCAATAAAAGATAGTTATTTTAGTTAAGAGTTATAACTAGGGAAGAGAAGCCAAGATGGCCAAATAGGAACAGCTCTGGTCTACAGCTCCCAGCGTGAGCAACGCAGAAGATGGGTGATTTCTGCATTTCCATCTGAGATACCGGGTTCATCTCACTAGGGAGTGCCAGACAGTGGGCGCAGGTCAGTGGGTACATGCACCATGAGTAAACCGAAGCAGGGAGAGGCACTGCCTCACTCGGGAAGCGCCAGGGGTCAGGGAGTTCCCTTTCCTAGTCAAAGAAAGTGGTTGACAGATGGCACCTGGAAAATCGGGTCACTCTGACCCAAACACTGTGCTTTTCCGATGGGCTTAAAAAACAGCGCACCAGGAGATTATATCCCACACATGGCTCAGAGGGTCCTACGCCCACGGAGTCTTGCTGATTGCTAGCACAGCAGTCTGAGATCAAACTGCAACGTGGCAGTGAGGCTGGGGGAGGGGCGCCCGCCATTGCCCAGGCTTGCATAGGTAAACAAAGCAGCTGGAAAGCTCGAACTGGGTGGATCCCACCACAGCTCAAAGAGGCCTCGCTGCCTCTGTAGGCTCCACCTCTGGGGGCAGGACACAGACAAACAAAAAGACAGCAGTAACCTCTGCAGACTTAAATGTCCCTGTCTGACAGCTTTGAAGAAAGCAGTGGTTCACCCAGCATGCAGCTGGAGATCTGAGAATGGGCGGACTGCCTCGTCAAGTGGGTCCCTGACCCCTGACCCCTGAGCAGCCTAACTGGGAGGCACCCCAACAGAACTGCAGCTGAGGGTCCTGGCTGTTAGAAGGAAAACTAACAAACAGAAAGGACATCCACACCAAAAACCCATCTGTACATCACCATCATCAAAGACCAAAAGTAGATAAAACCACAAAGATGGGGAAAAAACAGAACAGAAAAACTGGAAACTCTAAAATGCAGAGCGCCTCTCCTCCTCCAAAGGAACGCAGTTTCTCACCAGTAACGGAACAAAGCTGGACGGAGAATGACTTTGATGAGTTGAAAGAAGAAGGCTTCAGAAGATCAAATTACTCCGAGCTACGGGAGGACATTCAAACCAAAGGCAAAGAAGTTGAAAACTTTGAAAAAAATTTAGAAGAATGTATAACTAGAATAACCAATACAGAGAAGTGCTTAAACGAGCTGATGGAGCTTAAAACCAAGGCTCGAGAACTATGTGAAGAATGCAGAAGCTTCAGGAGCTGATGAGATCAACTGGAAGAAAGGGTATCAGCGATGGAAGATGAAATGAATGAAATGAAGCGAGAAGGGAAGTTTAGAGAAAAAAGAACAAAAAGAAATGAACAAAGCCTCCAAGAAATATGGGACTATGTGAAAACACCAAATCTACATCTGATTGGTGTACCTGAAAGTGATGGGGAGAATGGAACCAAGTCAGAAAACACTCTGCAGGATATTATCCAGGAGAACTTCCCCAATCTAGCAAGGCAGGCCAACATTCAGATTCAGGAAATACAGAGAATGCCACAAAGATACTCCTCGAGAAGAGCAATTCCAAGACACATACTTGTCAGATTCACCAAAGTCGAAATGAAGGAAAAAATGTTAAGGGCAGCCAGAGAGAAAGGTCAGGTTACCCACAAAGGGAAGCCCATCAGACTAACAGTGGAGCGCTCGGCAGAAACTCTACAAGCCAGAAGAGAGTGAGGTCCAATATTCAACATTCTTAAAGAAAAGAATTTTCAACCCAGAATTTCATACCCAGCCAAACTAAGCTTCATAAGTCAAGGAGAAATAAAATACTTTACAGACAAGCAAATGCTGAGAGATTTTGTCACCACCAGGCCTGCTCTAAAAGAGCTCCTGAAGGAAGCACTAAACATGGAAAGGAAAAACTAGTACCAGCCACTGCAAAACCACACCAAAACGTAAAGACCATCCAGACTAGGAAGAAACTGCATCAACTAGTGAGCAAAATAACCAGCTAACATCATAATGACAGGATCAAACTCACACATAACAATATTAACTTTAAATGTAAATAGACTAAATGATCCAATTAAAAGACACAGACTGGCAAATTGGATAAAGAGTCAAGACCCATCAGTGTGCTGTAATCAGGAAACTCTTCTCACATGCAGAGACACATATAGGCTCAAAATAAAAGGATGGAGGAAGATCTACCAAGCAAATGGAAAACAAAAAAGGCAGGGGTTGCAATCCTAGTCTCTGATAAAACAGACTTTAAACCAACACACATCAAAAGAGACAAAGAAGGCCATTACATAATGGTAAAGGGATCAATTAAACAAGAAGAGCTAACTATCCTAAATATATATGCACCCAATACAGGGGCACCCAGATTCATAAAGCAAGTCCTGAGTGACCTACAAAGAGACTTAGACTCCCACACAGTAATAATGGGAGACTTTAACACCCCACTGTCAACATTAGACAGATCAACGAGACAGAAAGTCAACAAGGATACCCAGGAATTGAACTCAGCTCTGCACCAAGTGGACCTAATAGAAATCTTCAGAACTCTCTACCCCTAATCAACAGAATGTACATTTTTTTCAGCACCACACCACACCTATTCCAAAATTAACCACATAGTTGGAAGTAAAGCTCTCCTCAGCAAATGTAAAAGAACAGAAATTATAACAAACTATCTCTCAGACCACAGTGCAATCAAACTAGAACTCAGGATTAAGAATCTCACTCAAAACCGCTCAGCCACATGGAAACTGAACAACCTGCTCCTGAATGACTACTGGATACATAACGAAATGAAGGTAGAAATAAAGATGTTCTTTGAAACCAAAGAGAACAAAGACACAACATACCAGAATCTCTGGGACGCATTCCAAGCAGTGAGTAGAGGGAAATTTATAGCACTAAATGCCCACAAGAGAAAGCAGGAAAGATCTAAAATTGACACCCTAACATCACAATTAGAAGAACTAGAGAAGCAAGAGCAAATACATTCAAAAGGTAGCAGAAGGTAAGAAATAACTAAAATCAGAGCAGAACTGAAGGAAATGGAGACACAAAAAAACCTTCAAAAAATTAGTGAATCTAGGAGCTGATTTTTTGAAAGGATCAGCAAAATTGATAGACCACTAGCAAGACTAATAAAGAAAAAAAGAGAGAAGAATCAAATAGACACAATAAAAAATGATAAAGGGGATATCACCACCAATCCCACAGAAATACAAACTACCATCAGAGAATACTATAAACACCTCTACGCAAATAAACTAGAAAATCTAGAAGAAATGGATAAATTCCTCGACACATACACTCTCCCAAGACTAAACCAGGAAGAAGTTGAATCTCTGAATAGACCGGTAACAGGATCTGAAATTGTGGCAATAATCAATAGTTTACCAACCAAAAAGAGTCCAGGACCAGATGGATTCACAGCCGAATTCTACCAGAGGTACAAGGAGGAACTGATACCATTCCTTCTGAAACTATTCCAATCAATAGAAAAGGAGGGAATCCTCCCTAACTCATTTTATGAGGCCAGCATCATCCTGATACCAAAGCCTGGCAGAGACACAACAAAAAAAGAGAATTTTAGACCAATATTCTTGATGAACACTGATGCAAAAATCCTCAATAAAATACTAGCAAAACCAATCCAGCAGCACATCAAAAAGCTTATCCACCATGATCAAGTGGGCTTCATCCCTGGGATGGAAGGCTGGTTCAATATACACAAATCAATAAATGTAATCCAGCATAGAAACAGAACCAAAGACAAAAACCACATGATTATCTCAATAGATGCAGAAAAGGCCTTTGACAAAATTCAACAACGCTTCATGCTAAAAACTCTCAATAAATTAGGTATTAATGGGACGTATTTCAAAATAATAAGAGCTATCTATGACAAACCCACAGTCAATATCATACTGAATGGGCAAAAACTGGAAGCATTCCCTTTGAAAACTGGCACAAGACAGGGATGCCCTCTCTCACCACTCCTATTCAACATAGTGTTGAAAGCTCTGGCCAGGGCAATTAGGCAGGAGAAGGAAATAAAGGGTATTCAATTAGGAAAAGAGGAAGTCAAATTTTCCCTGTTTGCGGATGACATGATTGTATATCTAGAAAACCCCATTGTCTCAGCCCAAAATCTCCTTAAGCTGATAAGCAACTTCAGCAAAGTCTCAGGATACAAAATCAATGTACAAAAATCACAAGCATTCTTATACACCAACAACAGACAAACAGAGAGCCAAATCATGAGTGAACTCCCATTCACAATTGCTTCAAAGAGAATAAAATACCTAGGAATCCAATTCACAAGGGATGTGAAGGACCTCTTCAAGGAGAACTACAAACCACTGTTCAGTGAAATAAAAGAGGATACAAATGGAAGAACATTCCATGCTTATGGGTAGGAAAAATCAATATCGTGAAAATGGCCATAATGCCCAAGGTAATTTATAGATCCAATGCCATCCCCATCAAGCTACCAATGACTTTCTTCACAGAATTGGAAAAAACTACTTTAAAGTTCATATGGAACCAAAAAAGAGCCTGCATTGCCAAGTCAATCCTAAGCCAAAAGAACAAAGCTGGAGGCATCACACTACCTGACTTCAAACTATACTACAAGGCTACAGTAACCAGAACAGCATGGTACTGGTACCAAAACAGAGATATAGATCAATGGAACAGAACAGAGCCCTCAGAAATAAGGCCACATATCTACAACTATCTGATGTTTGACAAACCTGAGAAGAACAAGAAATGGGGAAAAGTTTCCCTATTTAATAAATGGTGCTGGGAAAACTGGCTAGCCATATGTAGAAAGCTGAAATTGGATCCCTTCCTTACACCTTATACAAAAATGAATTCAAGATGGATTAAAGACTTAAACGCTAGACCTAAAACCATAAAAACCCTAGAAGAAAACCTAGGCAATACCATTCAGGACATAGGCATGGGCAAGGACTTCATGTCTAAAACACCAAAAGCAATGGCAACAAAAGACAAAATTGACAAATGGGATCTAATTAAACTAAAGAGCTTCTGCACAGCAAAAGAAACTACCATCAGAGTGAACAGGCAACCTACAAAATGGGAGAAAATTTTCGCAACCTACTCATCTGACAAAGGGCTAATATCCAGAATCTACAATGAACTCAAACAAATTTACAAGAAAAAACAAATAACCCCATCAAAAAGTGGGCGAAGGACACGAACAGACACTTCTCAAAAGAAGACATTCATGCAGCCAAAAAACACATGAAAATATGCTCACCATCACTGGCCATCAGAGAAATGCAAATCAAAACCACAATGAGATATCATCTCACACCAGTTAGAATGGCAATCATTAATAAGTCAGGAAACAACAGGTGCTGGAGAGGATGTGGAGAAATAGGAACACTTTTACACTCTTGGTGGGACTGTAAACTAGTTCAACCATTGTAGAAGTCAGTGTGGCGATTCCTCAGGGATCTAGAATTAGAAATACCATTTGACCCAGCCATCCCATTACTGGGTATATACCCAAAGGACTATAAATCATGCTGCTATAAAGACACATGCACACGTATGTTTATTGCGGCATTATTCACAATAGCAAAGACTTGGAACCAACCCACATGTCCAACAATGATAGACTGGATTAAGAAAATGTGGCACATGTACACCATGGAATACTATGCAGCCATAAAAAAGGATGAGTTAATGTCCTTTGTAGGGACATGGATGAAATTGGAAATCATCATTCTCAGTAAACTATCACAAGAACAAAAAACCAAACATCGCATATTCTCACTCATAGGTGGGAATTGAACAATGAGAACACATGGACACAGGAAGGGGAATATCACACTCTGGGGACTGTTGTGGGGTGGGGGGATAGGGGAGGGATAGCATTGGGAGATATACCTAATGCTAGATGACGAGTTAGTGGGTGCAGCGCACCAGCATGGCACATGTATACATATGTAACTAACCTGCACATTGTGCACATGTACCCTAAAACTTAAAGTATAATAATAATAATAACAATAATAATAATAATAAAGTTATAACTAACATGGGTTATTGAGACTACATGAAAAGCAATGATGATTGAGGAAAGCAATGTGTATGTAAAGCTGAGGTTTTGTTTTTCTAGGAAAAAAGAGAGTAGTTTTATCTTAAAATGAAATACAAGTTTGATCCAGAATAATAAAATAAAAAAAACACAAAAGGAGGAAACTTTAGTGTGTACAGCAAGTAGGAGAAGGTATGAAGGATGTTAATTTTGTTTGCCTTCGTTTAAAATATCTAAGCCTGAAAAAAAGCTGAGATAATTTATATTTTGGCAAAGTTCACTGAGTTTTGATGAATTTATTCACCACATAATTTAAGGGGGTCAGTAATGAGGGTAGGTGGTCATGCCAAATATTTATCAATATGAAAGTGAAATGTGACTTTTTCTGTTAAGTTGATAAGTAAGCGTTAGAAACTCTAAAGGAATAATAAAATATCATTGTTTAATCTTTTAGGTATATTTTCCACATAGCAAAGAGTCTATATCTCATTGAAAAACGTACTTTTCTTAGTTTTCATTTTATTATGCAACTGGCTAATTTTTTGAAAAATTCCTCACTTACGAAAAACCTAAAGTTTCTTACAAAACTGTTACTATCTTTTGTGTTTATTTAAAGCATGCCATCACTTTGATTAAAACAATAACCAAGTGTTTTTTCTCAGGACCCTTGAGCCTATCTTGAAACATAAGGTCTGCTTTATTTTGTAGGGGAGGGGGAGGGTTGCCTAAAGTAGTAGATACCAAATTTAGAAAAAAATTAATTCAATTCAGGAGCCTTCCCCCCTCCCATAGATTTCCTAGACAAACCCCAATATCTGTTACTTCACCTTGTGGAAAAAGATGATACGAACAGTTAGGGTTGTTTGCTGTGTTTCACATTGTATTAGCCCAACATTATTGTAAAATCCATGTGGGAAGAATTGTCAAAGTAGAAGAAACAGCTTTCCTGTAGTGAAAACTATATGGGCAAAATACTATTAAAATGAATATTTCAAAATTTTACACTTAATGGGGATTTTTCAATCCTTTCACTGTTATATATATTTTACCCTAAGGAGAAACGCTGATCAAACTCCTCAAATAGCTGTGTTCTAAATTCCAATAGAGAATCTGATTTCCCCCTTTCTAATATTCTAGTTCACTGTAATCATTTAACAACAAACTAAATAGGTTTCTGCTTTCCAAAGGTAGATAAAACCACAAAGATGGGGAAAAAACAGCAGAAAAACTGAAAATTCTAAAAATCAGAGCGCCTCTCCTCCTCCAAAGGAATGCAGCTCCTCACCAGCAACAGAACAAAGCTGGACGGAGAATGACTTTGACGAGTTGAGAGAAGAAGGCTTCAGACAATCAAACGACTCTGAGCTAAAGGAGGAAGTTCAAACCCATGGCAAAGAAGTTAAAAACCTTGAAAAAAGATTAGACAAATGGCTAACTAGAATAACCAAAGCAGAGAAGTCCTCAAAGGACCTGATGGAGCTCAAAACCACGGCACGAGAACTACGTGACGAATGCACAAGCCTCAGTAGCCAATTTGATCAACTGAAAGAAATGGTATCAGTGATGGAAGATCAAAAGAATGAAATGAAGCAAGAAGAGAAGTTTAGAGAAAAAAGAATAAAAAGAAACGAACAAAGCCTCCAAGAAATATGGGACTATGTGAAAACACCAAATCTATGTCTGATTGGTGTACCTGACAGAAAGTGAGGGGGGAATGGAACCAAGTTGGAAAACACTCTGCAGGATATTATCCAGGAAAACTTCCCCAACCTTGCAAGGCAGGCCAACTTTCAAATTCGGGAAATACAGAGAATGCCACAAAGACACTCCTCGAGAAGAGCAACTCCAAGACACATAATTGTCTGATTCACCAAAGTTGAAATGAAGGAAAAAATGTTAAGGGCAGCCAGAGAGAAAGGTCAGGTTACCCACAAAGGGAAGCCCATCAGACTAACAGTGGATCTCTCAGCAGAAACTCTACAAGCCAGAAGACAGTGGGGGCCAATATTCAACATTTCTAAAGGAAAGAATTTTCAACCCAGAATTTCATACCCAGCCAAACTAAGCTTCATAAGTCAAGGAGAAATAAAATACTTTACAGACAAGCAAATGCTGAGAGATTTTGTCACCACCAGGCCTGCCTTAAAGGGCTCCTGAAGGAAGCACTAAACATGGAAAGGAACAACCAGTACCAGCCACTGCAAAATCATGCCAAACTGTAAAGACCATCGAGGCTAGGAAGAAACTGCATCAACTAGTGAGCAAAATAACCAGCTAACATCACAACGACAGGATCAAATTCACACATAACGATATTAACCTTAAATATAAATGGGCTAAATGCTCCAATTAAAAGACACAGACTGGCAAATTGGATAAAGACTCAAGACCCACCAGTGTGCTGTATTCAGGAAACCCATCTCACGTGCAGAGACACAAAAAGACTCAAAATAAAGGGATGGAGGAAGATCTACCAAGCAAATGGAAAGCAAAAAAAGGCAGGGGTTACAATCCTAGTCTCTGATAAAACAGACTTTAAACCAACAAAGATCAAAAGAGACAAAGAAGGCCATTACATAATGGTAAAGGGATCAATTCAACAAGAAGAGCTAACTACCATAAATATATATGCACCCAATACAGGGGCACCCAGATTCATAAAGCAAGTCCTTAGAGACCTACAAAGAGACTTCGACTCTCACACAGTAATAATGGGAGACTTTAACACCCCACTGTCAACATTAGACAGATCAACGAGACAGAAAGTCAACAAGGGTATCCAGGAACTGAACTCAGCTCTGCACCAAGTGGACCTAATACACATCTACAGAACTCTCCACCCCAAATCAACAGAATATACATTCTTTTCAACACCACACCACACGTATTCCAAAACTGACCACATAGTTGGAAGTAAAGCACACTCAGCAAATGTAAAAGAACAGAAATTATAACAAACTATCTCTCAGACCACAGTGCAATCAAACTAGAACTCAGGATTAAGACACTCACTCAAAACCGCTCAACTACATGGAAACTGAACAACCTGCTCCTGAATGACTACTGGGTACATAACGAAATGAAGGCAGAAATAAAGATGTTCTTTGAAACCAACCAGAACAAAGACACAACATACCAGAATCTCTGGGACGCATTCAAAGCAGTGAGTAGAGGGAAATTTATAGCACTAAATGCCCACAAGAGAAAGCAGGAAAGATAAAAAATTGACACCCTAACATCACAATTAAAAGAACTAGGGAAGCAAGAGCAAACACCTTCAAAAGGTAGCAGAAGGTAAGAAATAACTAAGATCAGAGCAGAACTGAAGGAAATAGAGACACAAAAAACCCTTGAAAAAATCAATGAATCCAGGAGCTGGTGTTTTGAAAAGATCAACAAAATTGATAGACCACTAGCAAGACTAATAAAGAAAAAAAGAGAGGAGAAGACTCAAACAGACGGAAGAAAAAATGATAAAGGGGATATCACCACTGATCCCACAGAAATACAAACTACCATCAGATAATACTATAAACACCTCTATGCAAATAAACTAGAAAATCTGGAAGAAATGGATGAATTCCTGGACACATACACGCTCCCAAGACTAAACCAGAAAGAAGCTGAATCCCTGAATAGACCAATAACAGGCTCTGAAATTGAGGCAATAATTAATAGCTTACCAACAAAAAAAGTCCAGGACCAGATGGATTCACAGCTGAATTCTGCCAGAGGTACAAGGAGGAGCTGGTACCATTCCTTCTGAAAATATTCCAATCAATAGAAAAAGAAGGAATCCTCCCTAACTCATTTTATGAGGCCAGCATCATCCTGATACCAAAGCCTGGCAGAGACACAACAAAAAAAGAGAATTTTAGACCAATATCCCTGATGAACATTGATGCAAAAATCCCCAATAAAATACTGGCAAACCGAATCCAGCAGCACATCAAAAAGCTTATCCACCATGCTCAAGTGGGCTTCATCCCTGGGATACAAGGCTGGTTCAACATATGAAAATCAATAAACGTAATCCAGCATAGAAACACAACCAAAGACAAAAACCACATGATTATCTCAATAGATGCAGAAAAGGCCTTTGACAAAATTCAACAACCCTTCATGCTAAAAACTCTCAATAAATTAGGTATTGATGGGACATATCTCAAAATAATAAGAGCTACCAATGACAAACCCACAGCCAATATCATACTGAATGGGAAAAAACTGGAAGCATTCCCTTTGAAAACTGGCACAAGACAGGGATGCCCTCTCTCACCACTCCTGTTCAGCATAGTATTGGAAGTTCTGGCCAGGGCAATCAGGCAGGGGAAAGAAATAAATGGTATTCAGTTAGGAAAAGAGGAAAACAAATTGTCCCTTTTTGCAGATGACATGATTGTATATTTAGAAAACCCCATTGTCTCAGCCCAAAATCTCCTTAAGCTGATAAGCAACTTCAGCAAAGTCTCAGGATACAAAATCAATGTGCAAAAATCACAAGCATTCTTATACACCAATAACAGACAAACAGAGAGCCAAATCATGAGTAAACTCCCATTCACAACTGCTTCAAAGAGAATAAAATACCTAGGAATCCAATTTACAAGGGATATGAAGGACCTCTTCAAGGAGAACTACAAATCACTGCTCAATGAAATAAAAGAGGATACAAACAAATGGAAGAACATTCCATGCTCATGGGTAGGAAGAATCAATATCGTGAAAATGGCCATACTGCCCAAGGTAATTTATAGATTCAATGCCATCCCCATCAAGCTACCAATGACTTTCTTCACAGAACTGGAAAAAACTATTTTGAAGTTCATATGGAACCAAAAGAGAGCCTGCATTGCCATGTCAATCCTAAACCAAAAGAACAAAGCTGGAGGCATCACACTACCTGACTTCACACTATACTACAAGGCTACAGTAACCAAAACAGCATGGTACTGGTACCAAAACAGAGATATAGACCAATGGAACAGAACAGAACCCTCAGAAATAATGCCACATATCTACAACCATCTGATGTTTGACAAATCTGACAAAAACAAGAAATGGGGAAATAATTCCCAATTTAATAAATGGTGCTGGGAAAACTGGCTAGCCATATGTAGAAAGCTGAAACTGGATCCCCTCCTTACACCTTATACTAAAATTAATTCAAGATGGATTAAAGATTTGAATGTTAGGCCTAAAACCATAAAAACCTAAAAGAAAACCTAGGCAATACCATTCAGAACATAGGCATGGGCAAGGACTTTGCATCTAAAACACCAAAAGCAATGGCAACAAAAGACAAAATTGACAAATGGGATCTAATTAAACTAAAGAGCTTCTGCACAGCAAAAGAAACTACCATCAGAGTGAACAGGCAACCTACAAAATGGGAGAAAATTTTTGCAATCTACTCATCTGACAAAGGGCTAATATCCAGAATCTACAATGAACTCCAACAAATTTACAAGAAAAAAACAAACAACGCCATCAAAAAGTGGGTGAAGGATGTGAACAGACACTTCTCAAAAGAAGACATTTATGCAGCCAACAGAAGAAAATGCTCATCATCACTGGCCATCAGAGAAATGCAAATCAAAACCACAATGAGATACCATCTCACACCAGTTAGAATGGTGATCATTAAAAAGTCAGAAAACAACAGGTGCTGGAGAGGATGTGGAGAAATAGGAACACTTTTACACTCTTGGTGGGACTGTAAACTAGTTCAACCATTGTGGAAGTTAGTATGGCAATTCCTCACAGATATAGAACTAGAAATACCATTTGACCCAGCAATCCCATTACTGGGTATATACCCAAAGGATTATAAATCATGCTGCTATAAAGACACGTGCACACGTATGTTTATTGCGGCACTATTCACAATAGCAAAGACTTGGAACCAACCCAAATGTCCAACAATGATAGACTGGATTAAGAAAATGTGGCACATATACACCATGGAATACTATGCAGCCATAAAATAGGATGAGTTCATGTCCTTTGTAGGGACATGGATGAAGCTGGCAACCATCATTCTCAGTAAACTATGGCAAGGACAAAAAATCAAACACTACATGTTCTCACTCATAGGTGGGAATTGAACAATGAGAACACATGGACACCGGAAGGGGAACATCACACACCGGGGCCTGTTGTGGGGTTGCGGGATGGGGGAGGGATAGCATTAGGAGATATACCTAATGTTAAATGACGAGTTAATGGGTGCAGCACACCAACATGGTACATTTATATATATGTAACAAACCTGCATGTTGTGCACATGTACCCTAAAACTTAAAGTATAATAAAAAAAGAAAAAAATCCCATTGTGAGGTTGCAGGGTCAGGGTGGTCCCCGGTCAGCGGTTCAGCACGTCTGATGTCAAGCTCATTCTGTGCTGGGCATTTATCCTCCTTCCTCAGAGGTGAGCAGGCTGAGGCTCCAAGAGGCTGAGGGTAGTGTCCAGGATCAAACTTCGTGTTCCCATATGCCATATGATGTAGATGGTAGAAATGGGCAGGGGAGTATAATAAATAAAAGGAGTATATGAGAAGAGCACTGTCTTCACCTCCCACCACTGTGGCCACTGATAAACCCTGACTTGGCCATGAGCCGGCTGATACTGGTGCAAAGTGGACTGGGCCACCCAATCCTGACCCGCATGACCTGTGCATAGCAGGGGCAGCTGGGCACCACATCTTATATCACCATATCCCAAGCAGGAGACCCTCCCCGGGACAGTTCACACATCATCAGCACAACAGCAACCATCAGAGACTTTGCTATCCTAAGGGCACAAATAGCGTTTGCAGTGTCTTGGCTTTGAAGGACCCACCCTAGTTCTCCCCACACCCCCTCCCAAGTCTAGGCATCTCATCCCCAGAGCCTAGACACAGGTTCCCTGCTTAACAATAAAACTTTTCCACATAGTGCTCAACCTTCGACTTCATACGCTTTATTTTTTCCTTACCTCCATCCACTAAATAATGCCCTCTCGCCCACTGCTGCCCCCGTGGGCCAGAGGAAGGTACCAGAAGGACAACAGCTACCTATGACCTTAGTTGAATGGAAGGTACTTCCTGTCCTCAGCAACCTTTTCCCTTTCCAAATCACATCTCTTTCAACCCAAGAAAGAGGACTCTTCCCATACAAATCCCCAAGTGCCTTGTGTGGAGGTGCGAAATATGCTCAGTGGGGCTATTTTAGGTCGCTGGAGCATAACCCTTTTTTCCACCAGAGAAATAAAACACATTGCCATTAAAACACACTGCCATTAAAAACAGCATCAGACCTTTAGTAATCTCTGTAATAATAAATGGGGCAATTACATTTTACATTATTGCAGTGGATTTCATCCTGGCACTTGAAAACTTGCTTTCAATTTTTGAACCAGTAAATACTTCTTGTGGCAGTGTATTCAAGCCGTCATTTGAGCTAGAAGACTGATGATGATATAGACAGTTGAAGACCATTACAACTTCTGCTGCAGTTACTTTATCTTCTCCATCCCAATTTATCTTAATTGAACACCTGGTATTTAAAGGATAAATGCTTGAGGGGATGGATCCCCCATTCTCCATGATGTGATTATTACCCATTGCATGTCTGTATCAAAACATCTCATGTACCCTATAAATACACACAACTACTCTGTACCCATACAAATTAAAAAGTAAAACATTAAAAACATAAAAAAAATCCTAGCCTCAAGCAATCCTCCTGCCTTGGCCTCCCAAGTCCCAAGTCCCTGAGATTATAGTCACGAGCCACCACATGTGTACTTTTATCCACAGCAACTCTACATTTTATTAATGTAACCAGGCAGATGAAGGAACCTAGGTTCAGAAATTATAAAATTGGTAGGTGACAGAATGAAAGTCCATACCCAGTTCTTCCCTTTGTATTTATGATCAATATAGATAAATTAAAATATAATCTAGATAGCCACTAGAATTTTTCGTGTGTATGTCAGTGGCTTTTCAAGCTAGACAGTAAACTCCCTAGGAATCAACATTTTCATATATTTTATAAGATTTTATTGTGCTCACTTAAAAAGTAACTTATATATGCAAAGTGCATAATGAAACTCAGTTGTCAACTGACTGTAGCCACAAAGAACCCATTTATTCAAGGAGCCTAGAAGAACCTGACATATCTGAGAAGTGTCATATTTTTACATGAATTACCATCTTTTCTGATGTTTCTGATTAGAAGGGCAAAGTGTAAATGAGTCATAGGGTAACAGCTATTTTTCATTCACAGCAAACGCTGCTTTGGAGTTGGATCTTAGATGCTGATTATAAGAAAGTATATCCTTATGCATCAGAATTGTATATTCTTGAACAAGCAGATATGTATTGTAGAATATATTTGCTTCTGTACTCACCAAAAATACCCTGCATTGTTAATACCAGCTTTTGCACTTCAGTTCAGTAGTATTTAATGAGTAAAGATTAAATGATTATTTTTTAACCTTTAATAAGTAAAGCTATATCAGAAGTTAAAATTCTTAGATAAAATTTAAAATTATTCAATGCTCTGAAAATTATAATAAAAAATAGTAAAATAAGTGTGTAGCAAATATTGTAGAAATAATGTAACAGTGAATAAGGGCAAAATACTGCCATTTTTACATCATAAAGATATAGAGAAAATGTATGTAGCAATATATTTTTTCTTACTCCACCCCAACACCCCCACACAATTTGCAATGAAGCCTCAAAAACAGTGTAGCAATAACAATAACTCATCCAAGCTAAGATGCATATAATTAAATGAATTGTAACAGAAAGATGATGAAGTCTTTCATCATATTTGAGGCTGTCACAATTACTGGCAGAATAAAGGAATATAATTTAGGTCTGTGTTGTGGTTATACTTTTTTAATTGTTCTGTTTTTACTTGCAGAACAGTGGAAGCACTGAAATACTTTACTTCATTTTTCCTTATTGTTGCCTTAAAATTAACATTTTCTCTCAAGTATGCAAATGCTTGTTTTGCTAAACCTGAGTTTTACATTGGTGGCTACTGGAGGCTGGGAAAAGCAGAGTAGAGGCAGGAGAAAGAGGGGTTGTTTATGGGTATAAAAATACAGTTACATAAAAGAAATAAGATCTAGTGTTTGGTAACAATAGGGTGACTACTGTTAACCATAAATATTGTATATTTCAAAATAACTAGAAGAATAGATTTGGAATGCTCCCAACACAAATAAATGATAAAAGTTTGAGATGTTGAATATCCCAGTTACCCAGACTTGGTCATTACACATGGCATGCTTGTATTAAACTATCACATGTACAAGTGAATATCCATAAAAATGAAAAAAAAAAAAAAAAAGTAAGGTTATGAAACATACCTGGGTGCATTCCCTAACTCTGCCACTGTGGGAACTGGGGCAATTTGTTCATAGATTCTTCATCTGTAAAATGGGGATAATGCTATTTTGTAGGGTGTGATAATGGATTAATTGAGATGGCTGGTACAAATAAATACCAACTGTTAGATCTGTCAATATTTTTATCTGTAACTTCCAATTTCTAAAATGAACACATACTACTTTTATAATAAAAGTCATATAAAAAAGGTAAACGCATATAGATTTCTAATTCATAATATACATGCTTAAATGATTAGAAGGGAAATATACTGATGTCAAAGGTTTACTTTGAAATGCATCAAAATATAAGATGGTTGATGGTGGATATACTGCAACTTTGCTATGTGTTTGGAAATATTTATAATAAAATGATGGAAAAATAGAAACCAGAGCTTTCTCAGAGTGAGACTGAGATTATGCTCTATTAAATGTCTAGCTCACTTTCTAGATAAAATAGCATATATAAATTAGTTCTTTTTGAAGCAAGTATTAGGCAAAATGCTGCTGGTTCAAAAATTGATACTTCCCAATTGTAAATATGCTTTTATTTGTTTTTAAAAAACAGTTTACAATGAAGATACAATTAAACTAACCTTGCATTTTGTAAAAAAAAAATTAAATAGGAAATACTATTTACCTCATTATTTTCTATGGCAAAGTATTCATATTCCAGAAAACAGATCAATTTGATAATGTTCCAGCAACCTAAGATTGGTTGATAAGTTAGCTAAAAGACAAAGAAACTATCTTTGTTTTTGCACCTACTAGGTTCCATGTAAATTGCTAATTGCTTTTTCTAGATTAATCCTCAAAACTTTTCTTGGAATTAGTCAGAAAAATGACAACATTGGGCCAGGCACGGTGGCTGACACCTGTAATCCCAGCACTTTAGGAGGCTGACGCAGGTGGAACACAAGGTCAGGAGTTCAAAACCAGCCTGACCAAGATAGTGAAACCCCGTCTCTACTAAAAATAGAAAAAAATAGCCAGGTGTGGTGGCAGGCGCTTGTAATCCCAGCTACTTGGGAGGCTGAGGCAGGGAATTGCTTGAACCCGGGAGGCAGAGAGGTTGCAGTGAACCCAGATCCTGCCACTGCACTCCAGCCTGGGTGACAGAGTGAGATTCCATCTCAGAAAACAAAAAAAACAAACAAACAAAAAAAGAAAAATGACAACATTGTGATAAGCTAAGTTTTAGACAAAGATCACAGAACCAAGCAAAAAAATCAATCCGAGATGCATTTGACATATTCGCAGTCATTATACTAAAGCCTATGACTTTACATACTACATTTATAAGGCCTCAAAAGACAAATAAAGTAATAATAAAATAAACCATACAAATCTCAGTGGATTAATCCACTAAAATGTGTTGCCCACTTACACTGAATATCCAGTAATGTTCGTGTGGCAATTCTGGGATTCAGGGTGATGGAAGTTCTGCTGTTTTGCCACATCTTGCAGGACATTCAGTCTTTTGGGTTGCATAGGCAGAGAAATAAAGACATGAAGCACATGACTTTATCAAACTCCAAGAGGACTAAATATTTGGTAACATTACTCTGCCATAAATACGTATGATATTTTACAGCTGGAGAAGACTTTAGTGAGGATTTAATGAAATTCGTTTAAGTTTGCCTGACGGAGCCCATTCTTTCTTTTACCTATTAAGAAAAGAAAGAATCTAGAAATTACAGCACTCCAAAACCTTATTCTTGAACTCGTATGAAGGAAAAACATGTATGAATATGTATCTAAATATCTGTGCATGTATGTATTATGTGTGTGTATGCAAGCTAAATCTTACTCCAAGGGTAGGATGAATTTAGTGCATTCCCTATACCACAGAAAGGCTTTCTTTACTAAAGAGTTTATGGAATTCTTAGCCTAAGAGTTAAGGTACCATCCCAAAGCAGCTGACTATGGTTGACATTTGTTTGGTTTCTGGACAAGCATAACACAGCATGAAGATAATAAAGATAAACTGTTCTCGTCAAAACCTTGTCAATACCTTCCATCTCAGCCTAAATGTTGAAGAGCAGAGCACTAGCAGAGTCTGAAATGTCCTTGCATTCCAAAACTAAGCTATCAATCCAATTAAATCATTCAGATTGGACTCTTGAATGTTTACATGTCATTTCTGCCTTTTGCTTTTAAATTCATCCTATTACAGTCTCCATTTCTAATATATCAACTGGTCGAATGAAGAATACAAAAATCACATTATTTACAATAAATTTTTGTGTGTTCCAATTTGGTTTTCAAACTCTTTCAAAAGTCTTTACCCAAGTATTAATTTATTCATTTCAAGTACTATTCGAAATACTCTGTATATGCCTACCATCATCTCAAATGCTAAGAATATAGAAGTGAACAAAAGAGGCAAGGTCTCTGCACATGAGAAGCTCAAAGTCTAGAGAAAGATATATTATATTATAGTTATATCAGTATAATATATAAGTAAATGAATAAAATAATTGATTAACAAAATTCCTAACTTTCACTGCACCATTCCTTGAGTAGTTTCCCTGTATGCTCTGTTTGGATTCTCTTGCCAGTGCTACAGGAAATTAAAATACACAGTTACGTTTTTAAAGCCTCCATGTTTCATTAGGACATATCAAGTTGTCTTTATATAAAATCTTTAAAATACTTTAAATCTCAAGTTTCCTGAAACCATAGTTTTCTAGGATCTGGAATTATTGCTCACATAGTCTACCTTGGTATTCAAGAGAAATGGGTTCCAGGATTATGCTCCTTACCAAGATCTGCAGATGCTCAAGTACCTTATATAAATGGTGTGGTATTTGAATATGGCCTATGCGCATCCTCCCAAATACTTTAAATCATCTCTGGATTACTTAAATATGTCTAAACATGTCATACAGTCTAAATCTTATGTTAATAGTTGTTATACTACAATATTTTTTACTATTTTATCATGTTTGGGTATGAATATTTTTCATCCAAGGTTAAATCTGCCCATGTAGAACCCGCGGCTATGGAGGACCAACTATATATGCAGTACCCTCTTTTTGAGATAATGTCATTTTCTCAGAGCCTCTTGGTATTATTTTATTTTTATTTGTTTTATTTTCTTAGGTTTTACAAAATCTACTCAGAATGAGTATAATTTTTCTATGTAGCCATAGGAAATACTGGAAATAGAGCTGTTACTAAAATTCGACATGGCTGGTCACTAAGGGAATCCTGAAGTCTAGTAAAAAATGACAATCTCAGGTTATCATTGAACTTGGATGATTTCACTGTTCACCTAAACATCCAAGGTCTGACAAAGAACACCGTATCAGTGTTTAATATTCTTGGTTACAGAATTAGATATTTTTTTCATTTCTTTACACCAATGCTCTACTCTATTAAAAATTATGTGTATAGATACAGAGATTCGGTTATATGGAAAACAATATTTTAAAAGAGTAAAACAAAAACATGCAAACAAACAAACAACCTAACAAAACGAGACCCTGGTTTGATTCAGAACTGTTTAATTTTGAGAGCCCCAGACCTAAGCAGTAATGGTTCACAGAGAACACATTATATCTTCATATGAAGTAAAATCAGAAGTTATTTTACATTGCAAATATAAAATATTTTTAACCCAATAAATAAAAACAAAGGCGACACACTGTAGTACACCTTTCAGCCATCATAGTACTAATTTTGCCACACTCCTAAAATTGTCCATGCACTTGTTTTCACCATTCCCTCTTAATCCTATTTGTAACAGTCATTCATTCAATTGGCATTATGCAATTGCTGTTAGTAACAACAGATGTTTCTCCTTGGCTGTTTACTATCCCCTCTTATTTTGGTGACAGCATCTTGATATTCCTTTGGGAAAATCATCCCTTTTCAAATTTTTGAAACAATGATTTGAAGGCCTAGACCCACCTCCTTCTTCCAGTATTGAGTGCTAGATTATACCTCTCCAATAAGCATCTTTTTATTTCTACTAGTCAACATATGTAATTCTAAATTGCTCATGGATCAACAATGAAATTTGTAATTATATGAGGCAATAATACATTTATTGCTTTTTTTCTTAAGACTTCTTAGGATATCAATTAGAGCCAAACAAATTCTGACCAATAAAAGTAACTATGATGTGGCACATACCATACTAATTTTTACATATTAGTTTCCAAGGTTACTAATACGTACGTTCAAAAAAATGAGATCATCCAATACTCTAAAATAAAACAAGCTACATTATTGTGCAGTTATATATTTTAATATGCTTTCATCTGCTCTTTTTCTTTGACTGTCATAATAAACATAATTTCATAATGACATCAGCTACTCCATTAAATGTTTTGGGAATGTGGTTGACAAAGCTTTTGAAAGGATAACTACATTACATTTTCTTTTTGTTTCCTGCACCCTAGTTTCTCTTCATAATTCTTCCCCCTATAGCTCACTCCACTTAATATCCTGGGCTGGCCAATTGGAATCTGTTAGGGGTCTGTAGTTCTATTCATGCCATGTTTTTATTTATTGCTAAATAATGTCAGGAGTTTTATTTCAAGCATAAATGAAAAAGTCCTGATTTTTGATGAAAACCGAGCATTACAAAAATATGATTCTTCCTAGCTATCCTGTGGAAGAATTTTAGGGTCGCATGTTAGGATTGAAATGAAAAACAGGTAAGACCTCACATGGTCAGAGGAGTCTTTTGCCTATAGAACCAGCTCTGTTGAAACTGCTTTCAGATCCCACACTGGCTGAAGATAAACCTCATGTAAATCTGTGGTAATGGCAGGGGATAAAAATAAGGAAGAGTTCTTGGCATTTATATTCCTCACTTAGGCCACTTCCCTAGACCTAAAATGAACATAAGCATGTGCTTGCACTGTGGTGTTTCCATTTATTTCAAAGCAGACATTATCCTTTTCATTGTGCTTATTCCCATCATGACTATTTTTCTATTTTTCATTGAATGGGTGCCTTATGTATTGCAAAGAGCTTAACATTTGTTCTCTTCTTCAAAATCTTCAAAACTCCATGCCCTTCCTCTTTTTTCATATGCCCTACCGTTTCCTTAAATGAGCCTTTGTATTTCCCAACACAGTTATGAGCCAGCAGGATGCTGTTTCAAAAAGGGTGGAGGGCAGGGAGTGGAACACTTCATACTTCCCTTCAGTATATTAACTGGAAAGCTCTTCCAGTCGAGTGATGTACTGAGCCACTTCAACCACTGCTCCTCTGAACCTAACGCTTCAAGAGGGAGCTCGAATCAGTTCCTATTAAGAGAGACACATAACAAACAACCCCATCAAAAATTGGGCGACGGACACGAAGAGACACTTCTCAAAAGAAGACATTTATGCGGCCAACAAACATATGAAAAAAAGCTCATCATCACTGGTCATTAGAGAAATGCAAATCAAAACCACAATGAGATACCATCTCACACCACTTAGAATGGCGATCATTAAAAAGTCAGGAAACAACAAATGCTGGCGAGGATGTGAAGAAATAGGAATGCTTTTACACTGTTGGTGGGAGTGTAAACTATTTCAACCATTGTGGAAGACAGTGTGGAGATTCCTCAAGGATCTAAAACCAGAAATATCACTTGACCCAGCGATCTCATTACTGGGTATATACCCAAAGGATTATAAACCATTCTACTATAAAGACACATGCACATGTATATTTATTGTGGCACTGTTCACAATAGCAAAGATTTGGAACCAACCCAAATTCCCATCAATGATAGACTAGATAAAGAAAATGTGGCATGTGTACAACATGGAATATTAAGCTGCCATAAAAAAGGATGAGTTCATGTCCTTTGGAGTGACATGGATGAAGCTGGAAACCATCATTCTCAGCAAACTAACACAGAAACATAAAACCAAACACCGCATGTTCTCACTCATAAGTGGGAGTTCAACAACGAGAACACATAGACACAGGGAGGGGAACATCACACGCTGGGGCCTGTTGGGGGGTTGGGGGCTAGGGGAGAGATAGCATTAGGAGAAATACCTAATGTAGATGATGAGTTGATGGGTGCAGCAAACCACCATGGCATGTGTATACCTATGTAACAAATCTGCACGTTCTGCACATGTATCCCAGAACTTAAAGTATAATAAAAGAGAGAGAGAGAGAGAGATAAAGCTGCCATTGTCACAAATTCAGCCAGTAATGGAGAATGTGGTAATTAAATTAAGATGGCTGTTTGGGAGAGAGTTTGCTTTATAACAAAATCTAACAGTACTGAAATTCACTTTCCCACTTTACCAACTAATGCAGCAGCTCAGGATCTAGTTATTTATATTCAGCCTTCCAAGTCACCTTGCTATGAGTTGTCTCCAATTGCCAAAAGTTCGCTAGAAAGAAAAAAATTCATACGCACACACACATATATATTCACAGGCCTATAGTAGGAATACAAGAGGTCTTAGAAAAGCATCTTCTCAGAAAATAAGGAATGCTTGAAGTGAGTGAGCTCTGGGACACATACCAAGAGGGAACTGTGAAAGACTTAATCACGGAACAATTATCTTCAGTTTTGCTCTATTACTAAATTAGCCTCACACCAAAATGTCCAGAGATGTTGGGAAACAGCCTGATAACTAGATCTGTTTATCAGATTCACTGTTTGGTCGAAGAATGCTCAAACAATGCACAAGATCAATGCACCAGGCTGCATATTGAAATCCCTTGACCAGCCTTAAAAAAAATTACTGTACTTAGGTCCTATCCCTGGAGATTCATATTTAATTATTCTTGAGGGCAGCCTTTAAATTGGGACTCTGAAAACTCCCTGGTTAATTTTTATGTGCAGCAGAGGCTAAGAACCAATGCACTACCTAAATTTCTTGTTAGTTTTTTTTTTAATAAGTTATTTTGTCTGGTTTTCAAGCAGAGCTTTTCAAAAGCTCATTTAAGGAAACAAAGGCTTTCTTTTTTTTTTTTTTTTTTTTTTTTTTTGAGACGGAGTCTCGCTCTGTCGCCCAGGCTGGAGTGCAGTGGCGGGATCTCGGCTCACTGCAAGCTCCGCCTCCCGGGTTCACGCCATTCTCCTGCCTCAGCCTCCCAAGTAGCTGGGACTACAGGCGCCCGCCACTACATCCGGCTAATTTTTTGTATTTTTAGTAGAGACGGGGTTTCACCGTTTTAGACGGGATGGTCTCGATCTCCTGACCTCGTGATCCGCCCGCCTCGGCCTCCCAAAGTGCTGGGATTACAAACAAAGGCTTTCTATGTGAAGCCTTAATACAATAGAAGCTTAAAGATGAAGGAACTTTAAGTAGGCAAACAGAGACACTGTATCAATGCTCATCTTCCTACATCTTCTAGTTCCTGGACATTTGAGTAGAGCCTAGAGGAGTCATCCTTATCCTCAACTTAGATTCAGGACTTGCATGTCTGCACAATAGAAAGCCCCTCACTGATGATGTAACAGATTCATTGTTTCCAGCCAACCTCTAAAATCCAGACTCTGATCTGTTATGCTCTTCAACAAACTGGGATCAGAAAATTTTAGGCTGAAAAAAGAGAACTGTCTTTATCCACAACATGGTTCTCAGCTATAGCGTCCACCATCTACAAATATGATGTGAGTCACAAATAATCTTTATCAAGAAAAATAAAGATGGGTTCTTGTTAAAGATGAGAGAATAAACACACATGTCCACTGCAGTTTCCTTCTAAATTTCACAGAAATAAAAGTAAAGTGATTTAAAAAAAAAGAATTATCATATAAGGACAAATAAAGTGGCAAGGAAAAATATGGAAATGTAAAACAGATGGATAGTGGTAACAAATTTAGAAGACCAGAGAAGGCTGAAACTTAAGATAGCCAGAGAGAAAGACAAACAACCACCTGCTTTGCATTGGATTATCCTAGAAATGTGCAAGAATTTGCTGAACTACAGACCTCCGCAAATGGGAATGTAGGGGACAAAAACCTACAGAATAGTTTGAAAGTCTGTTTTAAAAAGTTGTTTAGCACTTTGATCTTCACCCGCCTGACTCAGAACTACAATGGCCCTTTCCCTGCACAAGAAGAGAAATGAATGTATTTTATCTAGAAAGATTCAATAATAAGTAAGTACTTTGAACTGGTCAAACACGAGGCACAGCTGAGGGCAATGTAATGCAAAAAAAAGCATGAATGAGAGCTTAAATTAATGCCTAGGTTAAAAAAAACAGGTGTATCACATTTGGAAGCATGCTCTTGAATTAGAATCTCAGCTTCATATCCAACAATCTCTTAGGTAAGTTAGTTTTCTTCTCTGTGCCTCAATTTATTCATCTAAAAAACCAATATAATCATAATTATTGGATTAATGTAAAGAATGTATGGGTAAATGTATGTAAAATAAATATTCCAGTGCTTGGCAAACAATAAGCACTATATATGTGCTAACTATTATTTTTACTTTCTACTTGGGTCACAGAATAATGACAGAGAAGTTTATATAATCTATGGCCAGAGATGGGAGATTTTTCCCAGAAGGGAAAATATTCATATGTATATATACATAATTGTATATTTAATATACATACACAAAAAGTTCCTGGCAGTTTTGGTCCCCAAATACAATTTCTCAACCAGATAAATCTAGAGTGAAGCCCACGAGTGAACTGATCTCACTAACTTATAGAACTTCCACTCAGCTTTTTAGAGCTTATTAATTAAATGCCAAATACCAATAGATATTTAAGCACATTTTCTATCAGGACATATAGAAAACAAAACAGATTTCTAAAAGAGTTTTGGGGTAAGTGAGAACAATGCAAGGAGACAAAGTGCAAAAAGAGCTAAAATTAATTTTTACAGAGGAAAGAAAGAACACATTGTACATATGAAAATAGGCACGCCGTAAAAAGTAATATTTAGAGAACAAAACCAGCCCTTGGAAATTTAAAAATATAGTAGAAAAAATTAAAACTCAATACAAAGGTTGGAAAATAAAGTTGTGGAAATCTCCCAGTAAATATAATAAAAGAAAAAGAGATAAAAAGGAGAAAGAGAAGAGAAAATTAGAGGATCACTACAAAAGAACCAATTATCTGAAAAGTAGAAGTGACTGGCAGAAAAAAATTATAAGAAATTACCATATATGAATTCAAGAAATTTGTCTAGACTGAATGAAGTGCAGACATTTTAATCTACAAAATGTCTACCATGGTTTCAGCACAATGAATGAAATCTGTATTAATAAACATCACCATAATTTTCATGTAAGTGAAGGCTTTGAAAAGACATTAAAACTTCTAGTGAGACAACCAATTACATAACCAGTTATTGAAATACTGTTTTGAAAAAATGTATTTTTCTTCATTGAACTTAGAGACAAATTTTCTTTAACCTATGTTTCTATATGTGCATTAGTTTATTTCTCAACTTTTAATTTTGCTTCATTGATCTATTTATCTATTGTTGGCAAAACAAACGACAATACCTACCCCCTCCCCACAAACACACACAAAAACCACTGGGATAATTACTGAAGCATTATAATATGATTTGCTATGTAAAAAGCCCTCTAATTTATTTTTTATTTTTTTGGCTGTTTTCAACCCTTTGCTTTTCCATGTGAAGTTTTTATGTCCAGTTTCATTAAAAAATGATTACTATGTATATTAGAATATATTTAAGAAATAAAATAATATCAGGATAATTTACAGCTTTAAATATTATAAATTCCTGTTCATGAACATGGTATATCTATTTAGTTTTTTTTTTTTAATTAATGAAGTTTTATTATGTGTACATAAAAAGTCTTAATACTTTTCATTACATTTATTCCTAAGTACATTACATTTTGTTTTTGGTATAACTTTCTTTTAAGTTTTTTTTTTGAAACAATTCTCAAACTTATGGAAAGACTGCAAAAACTGTTCAAGAATACTTTTTCCTGAGCTTTGTTGAGACTAAGTTGCCAACACGATGCCCCATATCCTCAAATTTATTGTTATGTATTTTCTACAAACTAAGAAATTCTATACAAGCAAAACATAATCATCAAACTCAAAAAAGTAACACTGATACATTACCAAAAAAGGTTCAGGTACTATAAATAAAAATGTAATAGTTCTACTGTAGCTCATAATAGTGGTATGGAAGTGATTATGCATTTTTTTAAATAGACAAAAATAATGTGTCCTTTTAAAATATAACGTGCTCTCACATTTTTCTCTTGTCTGTGAGATTTGTAAAGAGGGCTAGTACATATATTTTCTTCAAAGCCAGTGATGCCTTCATGAACTTAAAGGAGACTGATCACTTTTCTCCAAGGTTATTTGCACCTGTCACCTTCACTTCATCTTGAATTCTATTTATATTCTGTTCTTATATGGCTTCTAGAGGCTTTGTCTATATTATCCTATCCATTTTGCAGAATATACAAGAGCAGAACGATAATATGGAAAATTTTCATTTAATTTCAACATAGATACCAGAGGGAAGTTGGAATGTGAAGTCCTGACACCATAACTATGATGTGGACCAAGAATCATTGTGCTTTTATACTAATTTGTGGTAATTTAAGCAATGATCATGTTTCAGCACTGACACGGAGGGAAATGGATACTTCCGGAAGTAGATGTGGTAATTAGGATAATTGTTCTCTATGGCTTCTGGCATCAAAACTCTTAATTTTTCAATTATTTCTCTTGAGTATGTGAAATGTACTTCCACATTTTATTGGTATTGAGGTTGCTCATGGGACTTGCTTAGAACAATGATTATAAGTTGCTCTAATTTAAGAAGAGGCTTAAATTGTATCTCATTTACATTTCTGTGCTGTGCTCCTGTGACCCACTATAAGAGGAGCATGCCCCAGTAAGTCTAAGGAGAACATGTGGGAATGTGGGGACAACCTCAAACCAAATCACAGTCTGGCACCAAGCCTCACTGACTCCAACTTAGATAAGTAGAATCACAGCATATCTGCAAACTTGTCAGGAAAAAAAAAAAGCCACATCTTATCTTTGAGCTTTTCTTACTATTAATTCATTTATACTATCAGATTAATATACTGATATGCCGTAGGTACCTAGAAGCAGCATATCACTTATAATCCAGATCCACCTGGGACTGCATAAATTAACAAGAAGAAGCAAGATCATTTATCACAAATTTTAAATATTGATAAACATAGTGTTCATGCAGTATGTCAGAAGGCATTTGATGTAAAAAAATTGCTATTTCACTTTTAACTTTTAATTTACTTGACATTGTATACCATACAGATTTACATGTACTAAAAATACTCGATTACTCACCTACATGCACACCTTCAATATACAAAGCATAGTTTTTAAATTATTTTATTTGATCCCATTTGCTCTTATATGTATAGAAATGCAATATTTCTATTGAATCTAATAATAAAAATATACATGCTTCTGATGTCTGTGCTTTTTATTAGATTTTTCTATTCATTCTTACTATATTTTGCAAAACGTCATACTGAAGTAGAAAGAATGTTTTCAATGATCCCTCAACTGCCTTGTAGGCCTACAGACCAATATAAATGTGTCTTCCAAAAATATTTTGTGATAAGAGTAGTGTACCAAAGAGAAAGGGGCATGTGAAATATAGAAAGTGGTGCCGATGTCAAAACCTGAAGTTATAGTAGGTACTGAAGTCACATGTGTCTTTGCAGATGGCACTTTGTGTTAAGAGAAGCAAGCCCACTGATAATTGGACAAAATAATAGCCACCTAGAAAGGCCAATTATGAGGCAAAACTACATCATCCCATGCAGAATCTATAAGAGGAGAAGGAGGAGGAGAATAGGAAGAGAAAAGGGCGAGAGAGGAAGAGAAAGAGATAGATCAGCCAGGGTTGTTAGCTATAAACAATAGAATCTACTCTGGCTACTTTCAGCAGCCTAGGCCTTTGCAAGGGATATTAGGGTCCACAGAATGCCTATGAGTTCCAACAATATACTTAAGTCACTACTGGTAAAACATCTAAGTACACCTTTCTACAAAGTCACCATTGCAACTTTGCTTCTCATCTTTGAAGCTAGGGG